>NW_017852931.1:0-156998 GCF_000001405.40 Homo sapiens | reverse complement strand
GAATTCTTTATCTGTCATTTCTGAGTTTCCATTTTGCTATTTAAAAACCTTGTTTCAAATATCTCTTCTTTTTCTTCCAAATAGCTCTTAATTAACAAAAATTCACTGAGCATCTACTATGGGCAAACACGGGAAATCTAAACATGCACAACTCTCAATCATAGCTTAGGATGACTCAAGAATATAACAGAAAACACAAGCATATACAGAAGAAACTCAACCCAACATTACAACGCCTTTTTAAAGGTTATGCAGAAAGTCCTTGGAGACACCACAAAGGGCCGGGTGCAGTGGCTCACGCCTGTAATCCCAACATTTTGGGAGACCGAGGCAGGCAGATTACTTGAGGTCAGGAGTTCGAGACCAGCCTGGCCAAAATAGCGAAACCTTATCTCTACTAATAATACAAAAATTAGCTTGGCATTGTGGCACATGCCTGTAATCCCAGCTACTCGGGAGGCTGAGGCATAAGAATCACTTGAACCTGGGAGGCGGAGGTTGCAATTAGCCGAGGTCGCGCCACCGTACTCTAGCCTGGGCAACTGAGGGAAACCATGTCTCACAAAGGAATGCCTGAAGGAGTGCATGGCGAGCACACTGGGTCAGAGCAGCAGATTCCACTCCAGTTGATCTCCGTAACCACTGAGATGCTCTCCCTCCCACTATCAATTTCTATATATTTTTACACTACAAAACACAGTGTAATTACTTAGAAGCATTCTAGGACAACGTATCTGTAGAATTTTATAAAATTTTTGTAATCACCTCTTTCAACATTGCCATCTTTCAGATAAAATGAGAACAGGCCTCAACCCAGATACTGAATCAAAATCTTTGGGGGAATAGGACCGAAAGTATATATTAAAAAATAAAACACAAGTTCCCATAATCCTCAAGGTGTGAGAACCACTGTGTTGGACAATAAGGGAAAGAGCATTCTAATGAAGAAAACAACGTGAAGGAAGCACTTGGACATGAAAGCTCAAATGAGCACAGAGTGGAAAGGGATCTTGAAAGATGAAGCTGGAAGGTGGATGGTTCAGAAGTGAGGGGCTTTGTATACCATGCCAAGGCATTTGAGCCCTTAGTGATGACAAAACCATTGAAGATTTTTAAAATAAGAAAGTGATGTGACTGGCCCTCTGCTTCCACAAAGGAAGGAACGGGACACTGAGTGTGCAGGAGCAGCAGGTCAGGAGGCTGCCATTCCAGTCCCCGTGAGAAAGGAAGGCCTGGAGCTGCTGGAGGATGGAAGAGAGGACAAATTCAAAGAGTACTTGGGACTGGATCTGTCAGGACCAGTCACCAGATGAGGGGGGATTAAAAAATGGGAACGTTCATGGATGATGACAACATTAATCGAGATTGGGAAATGCAGAGAGGAAGAGTAGTTCCAGGGGAAGAATGAATTCCACCTCGGATATGCTTAGTTTGAGACCACCCAGGGGACACGTGTGCACACTCCACATGTGGTTTGGGAAGACTGGTCTGGAGTCATCAAGACAAATGTGAATCTGGAAGTGATGGACACAGCTGAAGTAAAGCTACAGAAAGACAAGACATAAGGCAGAATCCTAAAGACCTGCAAAGGACACATCCAAGGCCAAGTACCAAGAGTGGCAGAGGATCAATCTTTTAAGAAGCATAAGAATGAGTAGACCTGGAGGGTCAAGAAGCAGTGGTCACTGTCTAATGTCATAGGACACAAAGTCCAAACCCAGCCATCTGATTTGGCAACTGCAACTTTATTGACGACATCAGTGAAAGTCAAGAGGCAGAAAGCCACATTTTAAAGCTGAGGAGACTAGGTCTCAGTGCTTAAGTGACCTATCTAAAGTCATGAAGCTTAAGTCACACATTTATCCAGTAACTGCCAGGATAACTGTACAGGAGATACAAAGACGTGGTTCTGAAAGAACAAGGGGACGAAGTCACAGACACAAAGCTGGAGTATAACTTATTAAATGCTAGCCAAGCAAAGACCTAGGAGCAACCCAGAGGAAGTAGCAGTCAATTCCCTGACAGGAAGCGGGTCGGCAGGGAGCAAGGGAGCCTCCCAAAAGCATACCTGGTACTGGGCCTTGTAACTGAGCTAGGAAGGACAAGGACAGCCAGACCATGGCAGGGGCTCTAGGAAGAGGGAGCAGCATCATTCATATCAAGAAAAAAATCTATAGGACATTCAGATGAAGAAGTCAAGACTGTTACTTCACTAGAAAAGATGAGAAGAAATACAAACCCAGACATTCAAATAACTTCTGAAAGGTCTTCAATGTAAAACTTTCCCAAACAAAAGTATCTTAATCATCCTTTTATGGGTGGGGCAGGACTGGGGAGGCAAATGCATGCAGGAGAGAGAGACAGACAGTGAGAGAGAACACAGGAAAGTGGACCTCCAAAAATCGAAAGGGAAGCTTTTTGCCCTGAAGACTAACACACAGCTACGGTTTATATATATATAATATTATATAAAATTTATAATAGACAAATGTTATTACCTTTCATGAAATCTAAGTTAACCTCAATGCTCATGTGAGATCAGTGCTATTTCCACTTTAAAAGGAAACAGCAAGGATGGCAGATTTGAGACCTCAACCTCTGTGCTCTCCATCTTACACAGCTTTCCTTTTAGCTCCAAAGTTGAACCTGATCTTACTATTTTCTTATTTTTACTAAAGGTGCTTACACTTTAATTAAAGTGTGGCTGAGAAAATATAAAAATGTTATTCCCAAATTCACATTCTGTCTCTACAATAGATTGTATATTTTCTCTATCTTTTTAGGCTTTAAATTTCCTCCCTCTTACTTGAGAAGGGAGTTTCTGGCATGTTCAAAATCCATATCAAACCACCCACTTATACTTAGCTGAGCAATTTTCTGAGCACATTGAAAGCGTATCACTGTTCAATATGATAGCCTCTAGCCACATGCCCAACAACTTTCACATATGCCCAACAAAAGCTTGCTAATTACCTCTACATCAGAATTAAGCATTCTACAATAAGCCAAAAATTAACATAATAGACTAAAAAGACTTTAAATTTCAAGATAGCTCAAAGTGATTACAATCTTCAACAAATCAATAAAAGCAGCCAAAAAAAATCAATTGTTACATCCACATCCCTACTGATGGAATGCAAAATGTGGTTAATGTTATTTTTTTAACAACATAAATGGATTTTGGATAACATACATTCTTAACCAGTCCCTCCCAAGGTGAATGGCCAGTCTTTGTGAGACCCTGCTTTGATGGGAAGGGGAGTGGGGAGGCATGAAGTATACAACCTGATGCCAAAGATCAAATTGCATATCAAAAGTCCAAAATGCACACCAAACTAAACACTGATCATTGAGCAATTTTCTAAACAGATCTGTACTATTCAATATAATAGCCACTAGCCACACGGGGCCATGAGCACTTGTATGTGGCTATTACAAATTCAGGTGTGTTTTAAATGCTAAATACATGACAGACTTGGAAAAAATAGTATAGATAGACAGAACAACCATCAGTTTCAAGGGCCCTGTGCTGGAATCTATCTAAGTCTAGCTGTTTAATAATCACTCAGACAGCTAATTAGAAATAGATTATTGGATACTAGCTCCAAAACTTTTTATTCTCCAAGTTTGAAATGGGAGTCTGAATTATTTTTAAATTTCCCAGGCAAAACTCTTGTGTAACTATGTTTAGAAAACAAGTGTCCTCATCAACAAAGCTCTTGCCCACAAACCAACCTCAAAGTCAACAAGAGATGATAGGACCCAAAGGCAAAGGAATGAACCACTTTTTAAATCTTTATAATACAAATATACAAATTAAACAGAAATAAGACACCATTATACACCCACCAGATTGTCCAAATTTTAAAGTCTCACAATACCAAGATACACTATGATGCAGAGCAATGGGATTTCTCACACATGGCCAAAAATTACTTTAGAAAAAAGCTCAGCATTTTCTTACAGGATTGAAAATAGTGACCAACCACTCCAATACCCACATGTTTAACATGGGGTAGGAGATACATGTACAAGAATATTCAACACGATGTTGTTCATCATAGCCAAATGCAAAAAGAAAAAAAAAACATTAACAGCAAAATGGCTAAATATATTGTGGTATATCCACACAATGGGAAACTACACAGAAAAATGAAAGCGAAAGAACTATAACTCCTTATAAAAATATGAACTGACTTCAACACATAATGTTGTGCAGAAGAAACCATACATCCATTGAATCAATTCAGAATACATTGTAACATATAAACCTATTTCACAGAAGTTCCGAAAAGCAAGTAATAAACCATTTGTCTAGGAATGCTTACAAAATTCATAAAATTATAAAGAAGAACATGAAAGTGATTATCACTGAAGTCACTAAAGTATTACCTATGAAAGGAGAGAACAGGTTACAATAGTGACAGACAAACAGGGAAATTTTGTGGGCTGGTAATACTCTACTTTTTGCCCAGGGTGGTTACACAAATATTGGCTTTTTAGTTTTTTGTTAAATCTTATGTATTAGACTCAAATATAGGTAATGGCTATAATGAAACAGAGGTTCACATAACTGTCCAAAGCAGGTACCCCTGCTCAAAGAGCTTCACTTGAATAAAGGGAAAAAGCACACCATTCTTGGACAGGAAGACTCAGAATCATAAAGATGTTCATTTCTCCTTATGTTAATCATTAAATATAAGTCCATACAATAAAAATGTCAATAGGCTTTTTTAAAAACAAAAGTCAATTTAAAAATTAATAGAGAAATATAAACATGTGAGATAGCCAAGAAATTTGTAATGACGGTGGATTGACTGCACTTTCAGAGACTAGAACAAATCTTTTTAAAAGCTAGAATGATGAGCAAATAAGCAGATAGATCAATAAAATATAACTGGAATTCCCGAGATAGAGTCAAACACATAACAGGTATTCAGAATATGATAAAGGTAATATCTGAAATGTTTTGAGTGTAACACAAAATTTGGAAGCAATTTTTAAAATTAGTACAATTCCATTACATAAATATAAAAATATCCCTCATGGCAAAACACGGTAAGCAAAGTCAAAGGACAAACAACAAACTTAAAAGCAACAGTATGTCACATCGCCAAGAGCTTATTTCCTTAATATATCTAAAGTTCCTACATATCAATAATAAAACAGTAACCATATAACAGAAAAATAGGTAGAGTATAGGCACAGTCAGCTCTGAGAAAAAGAATTACAAATGACTCATTCATATGAAAAGATGCCCAAACTCTATAATAAGAGAAATGGAAGTTAAAAATCAGAATAAAATAACATTTTCACCTATCAGATAAACTTTAGTAGCACTCTGCACTGGTGAGGGTATAAGGAAACAGGCACACTAAAACATTGTTGGTAAAAGTATATATCGATATAATATTAATGGAGAACAATTTAGAAATGTGAGAGATGATGTATTTACATTTATGCATATGTATTTCAGCACTGATATAATAGGAAAAGTGGAAAAGATGGGGACTACTAAAGCATGTTACATTCAGTCGATGGAATGAACGCTCTACAGCCAACACAAAGAATGAGGCAGTCCCGTAAGTACTAACATGAAATGGTCTTTTAGATATCCATAGCAGCAGATCTTTTTCCTTGTTGGCTTCACTACTGGTAGAGTCAACTTTGGTAAGGTAATGCAGAACATCTGATTCAAGAACTATGACTTCCCCATAAATACTGAAGATGAATTCAAAGCTACCAATTGGGGAAAGAGCTTTTTATAAACCAGCATAAAAATCTACAAATTACCTAGAAAAAAAAATAACATTCTGCAGAAAAATCAAACTAAAATCACCCAAAACTGAATTCTTACTGCACTTGCACCCTAACCTGTCTCCTCATCCTATCAAATCTGCCTCCTTTCCTCCTGGATCTCCTATTTTACTTAATGGGGTCACTTCTACCCAGCTCCTCAAGCTAGAAACAAGAGCCTTTATTCATATTTTCTGGGCTCCCAAAATACTTTTAAAATAATTTCTGTAAGTGCTTATATTAAATTGTCACTGGCCTATAAGGTTGACTTTCCATTTAGACTGTGAGCTTCTTAAGGCTTGGGAACAATTTTATTCATCTTTGCATTCCTACCAATCCCTGAGTGGAAGGCCTGGCTCCATTTGTGCTTTTCATTCACTGAAAGAAAAAATGAGGGAGGGGGAGAATCATGCTTCAAGAGTTTGCTTAAAGTCAAGGGGAGCAGACTAATAAACAGTTCATATTTACCTTCCATCTTTCCTAAAGGGCTTAAAGATGTTAATATTAATTCCTACAATTAGAAACTCTATAACTACAAATGTAAAATAAATACAAGAAGCATAAAGACACCTTATTCAACATTCAGTAAGTACTTCTTGTATAAGTATAATGGATGAACACAGACATGGTTGTCCCTGCACTCACAAAACTTACAGGCTAGTAAAAGGACAATTAAATGAACAATACAAATGATGATCACTAAGTCTTTTATTACATAGAGAACAAGCATCATGAGTACACAAAGTAGAGAGATTTATTTGACATTCCTCTCAAGGCTCTTTCTTGTCTCCTGAATTATATGGCCACTGTGCATTCTAATCCCACATAAACCAAACACACCCAGTTCAGCCAGTGAGAGGCCCTATTCTGCCAGGACAGGCCTGTAGATATCAGACACAACATCCTCTCTTCCTCCCCAGACAACCCCAGACAACAGCACAGAGAACTGCCAGGCTAAAGCCCAAACATCCTTAAACTCCATGGTAAACTGATGATGTTAAAAACAGCCAGAGAGTAATTAACTCACAAATCCCCAAGTGTATTCTCAGATCATCCACATGAACCAAAAAGCAGTGAACTTTTCCAAATGCACAAAAACAGAAGCAGAAAGCAAGTGATTTAATCAAGACAACACAGAGATTAAAGGTAGGCATCTACCTACCACCTGAATGAGTGTTTGTCTCTTTTTGATCTGTGTCTTAACCAACTATACAAAATTCCTATGAACTGAGAAAAAAATTTACTTATACTCCCTTGTGAAATTAAAGGTACTAGATTAACTGCATTCACAACTGCTAAACTATGAAGCCCAAGTAAAGGCTAAACTATGAAGCTTCAGTTTTATTTCAGGTGACCTCCTGAACTAAACACAATCCAGATAAAAAATAAAGCTCAACAACATACACACATCCCCAAAAATCACACAGAACACAGACACATAGAAAGGGTGGGCCTGCTTCCTATCCACAACACTGTCAAGCTTGCTCTGGTAAATGAAAGCCAGGAAGCTCATCCCTGAACAGGATGAAGGGGGATAAATACAACAAGGAAGCCCTTCTATAAAGACAGTTCGGAGTGTGTCTCTGTGTGTATATATACTCACACATTTAGTCTCTTAGGTGTGTGAAAGGAAAATAAATACTGGGGCCCCTAAATCACCAAGCTAAAGGGAAAAGTCAAGCTGGGAACTGCTTAAGGCCAACCTGCCTCTCCTTCTATTCAAAGTCACCCCTCTATTCACTAAGATAGATGCATATCTGACTGCCTCCTTTGGAAAGGTTAATCAAAAACTCAGAGAATGCAACCATTCCTCTCTCACCTATCTGTGACCTAGAAGTTCCTTCCCAGCTTCAAGTCTTCCTGTGTTTGCTTCAAGTTGTCCTGCCTTTCCGGACCCAACCAATGTACTTCTTACATATGTTGACTGATGTCTCACGTCTCCCTAAAATGTATAAAACTAAGCTGTGTCCCAGCCACCCTGGGCACATGTCGTCGGGACTTCCTGAGGCTGTATCAGGGGCATGCATCCTCAACCTTGGCAAAATAAGCTTTCTAAATTAACTGAGACCTGTCTCAAATTTTCTAGACTCACAGGTGGTTACAAATAATGCCAGCAAATCAGAAGACCTGCTGAAGGGAAAAAGAAGGTAGTCTAACCTCATTATGACTCCAAAAATGAATCTGGTATATCCATACAATAGGATATTACTTAATGAATTAAAAAAATGAACTACTGACACACAAACAGCATGGATAAATCTCAAAATAATTATGTTGAGTGAAAGAAGCCAGAATAAAAGAAGATTACCCACCGCATGATTCTATTTATATAATATATAAATTAGAAAATGCAAACTAATCTACAGTTATAAAAACCTTATCAGTGACTGGCTGTGGATCAGAGGCAGGAGGGAGACAGTACTGAAGGGTAAGAGGAAACTGTCGGGGTGACAAATATGTCTATTATCTTCAGTGGTGATAGCTTTATGGGTGGATACCTATGTCAAAACATCAAACTTTACACTTCTAATATGTGCAGCTTGGGTGTCACTTACTCCTCAATAAAGCTGTTTAAAATTTTTTTAATAAAAATAAGTTCACATTGACCAGCATTTGGGTTTAACTGAAAATTTACAATACGAAGGAGATTATTTTCACTTTCAGAAGGATATTTTATCACAGTTACATACCATGTTTTGTGGACAAGCAATTTCAGAATGAATACAGATGTGGAATATTTAAATGTCTGTATTTCTTCCCATTCATCCTTTTCATGATTTAAAAGAAGCTAAAGCATTTTACAGAAAATTCCCATCAATTTCAAGTTTCTTACAGAGACTCTCTAAAATTCAATAAACATCTCACTTTTTGGAAAAGATGGGACCTTAAAGACCATCCTGGGGAGGAGCCAAGATGGCTGAATAGGAACAGCTCCAGTCTACAGCTCCCAGTGTGAGCGACGCAGAAGACGGGTGATTTCTGCATTTCCATCTGAGGTACCAGGTTCATCTCACTAGGGATCGCCAGACAGCGGGCGCAGGTCAGTGGGTGTGCGCACCATGCACACTGAAGCAGGGCGAGGCATTGCCTCACTCGGGAAGCGCAAGGGGTCAGGAAGTTCCCTTTCCTAGTCAAAGAAAGGGGTGACAGACGGCACCTGGAAAATCGGGTCACTCCCACCCGAATACTGTGCTTTTCCGACGGGCTTAAAAAACGGCGCATCAGGAGATTATATCCCGCACGTGGCTTGGAGGGTCCTACGCCCACGGAGTCTCGCTGATTGCTAGCACAACAGTCTGAGATCAAACTGCAAGGCAGCAGCGAGGCTGGGGGAGGGGCGCCCGCCATTGCCCAGGCTTGCTTAGGTAAACAAAGCAGCTGGGAAGCTCCCACTGGGTGGACCCCACCACAGCTCAAGGAGGCCTGCCTGCCTCTGTAGGCTCCACCTCTGGGGGCAGGGCGCAGACAAACAAAAAGACAGCAGTAACCTCTGCTGACTTAAATGTCCCTGTCTGACAGCTTTGAAGAGAGCAGTGGTTCTCCCAGAATGCAGCTGGAGATCTGAGAACGGGCAGACTGCCTCCTCAAGTGGGTCCCTGACCCCTGACCCCCAAGCAGCCTAACTGGGAGGCACCCCCCCAGCAGGGGCAGACTGACACCTCACACAGCCGGGTACTCCAACAGACCTGCAGCTGAGGGTCCTGTCTGTTAGAAGGAAAACTAACAAACAGAAAGGACATCCACACCAAAAACCCATCTGTACATCACCATCGTCAAAGACCAAAAGTAGATAAAACCACAAAGATGGGGAAAAACAGAGCAGAAAAACTGGAAACTCTGAAAAGCAGAGCGACTCTCCTCCTCCAAAGGAACGCAGTTCCTCACCAGCAACGGAACAAAGCTGGACGGAGAATGACTTTGACGAGCTGAGAGAAGAAGGCTTCAGACGATCAAATTACTCCGAGCTATGGGAGGACATTTAAACCAAAGGCAAAGAAGTTGAAAACTTTGAAAAAAATTTAGAAGAATGTATAACTAGAATAACCAATACAGAGAAGTGCTTAAAGGAGCTGATGCAGCTGAAAACCAAGGCTAGAGAACTACATGAAGAATGCAGAAGCCTCAGGAGCCAATGCGATCAACTGGAAGAAAGGGTATCAGCGATGGAAGATGAAATGAATGAAATGAAGCGAGAAGGGAAGTTTAGAGAAAAAAGAATAAAAAGAAACGAGCAAAGCCTCCAAGAAATATGGGACTATGTGAAAAGACCAAATCTACGTCTGACTGGTGTACCTGAAAGTGACGGGGAGAATGGAACCAAGTTGGAAAACACTCTGCAGGATATTATCCAGGAGAACTTCCCCAATCTAGCAAGGCAGGCCAACATTCAGATCAGGAAATACAGAGAACACCACAAAGATACTCCTCGAGAAGAGCAACTCCAAGACACGTAATTGTCAGATTCACCAAAGTTGAAATGAAGGAAAAAATGTTAAGGGCAGCCAGAGAGAAAGGTCGGCTTACCCTCAAAGGGAAGCCCATCAGACTAACAGTGGATCTCTCGGCAGAAACTCTACAGGCCAGAAGAGAGTGGGGGCCAATATTCAACATTCTTAAAGAAAAGAATTTTCAACCCAGAATTTCATATCCAGCCAAACTAAGCTTCATAAGTGAAGGAGAAATAAAATACTTTAGAGACAAGCAAATGCTGAGAGATTTTGTCACCACCAGGCCTGCCCTAAAAGAGCTCCTAAAGGAAGCGCTAAACATGGAAAGGAACAAGCGGTACCAGCCGCTGCAAAATCATGCCAAAATGTAAAGACCATCGAGACTAGGAAGAAACTGCATCAACTAATGAGCAAAATAACCAGCTAACATCATAATGACAGGATCATATTCACACATAAGAGTATTAACTTTAAATGTAAATGGACTAAATGCTCCAATTAAAAGACACAGACTGGCAAATTGGATAAAGAGTCAAGACCCATCAGTGTGCTGTATTCAGGAAACCCATCTCACATGCAGAGACACACATATGCTCAAAATAAAAGGATGGAGGAAGATCTACCAAGCAAATGGAAAACAAAAAAAGGCAGGGGTTAAAATCCTAGTCTCTGATAAAACAGACTTTAAACCAACAAAGATCAAAAGAGACAAAGAAGGCCATTACATAATGGTAAAGTGATCAATTCAACAAGAAGAGCTAACTATCCTAAATATATATGCATCTAATACAGGAGCACCCAGATTCATAAAGCAAGTCCTGAGTGACCTACAAAGAGACTTAGACTCCCACACATTAATAATGGGAGACTTTAACACCCCACTGTCAACATTAGACAGATCAACGAGACAGAAAGTCAACAAAGATACCCAGGAATTGAACTCAGCTCTGCACCAAGCGGACCTAATAGACATCTACAGAACTCTCCACCCCAAATCAACAGAATATACATTTTTTTAGCACCACACCACACCTATTCCAAAATTGACCACATACTTGGAAGTAAAGCTCTCCTCAGCAAATGTAAAAGAACAGAAATTATAACAAACTATCTCTTAGACCACAGTGCAATCAAACCAGAACTCAGGATTAAGAATCTCACTCAAAACCGCTCAACTACATGGAAACTGAACAACCTGCTCCTGAATGACTACTGGGTACATAACGAAATGAAGGCAGAAATAAACATGTTCTTTGAAACCAATGAGAACAAAGACACAACATACCAGAATCTCTGGGATGCATTCAAAGCAGTGTGTAGAGGGAAATTTATAGCACTAAATGCCCACAAGAGAAAGCGGGAAAGATCCAAAATTGACACCCTAACATCACAATTAAAGGAACTAGAAAAGCAAGAGCAAACACATTCAGAAGCTAGCAGAAGGCAAGAAATAACTAAAATCAGAGCAGAACTGAAGGAAATAGAGACACAAAAAACCCTTCAAAAAATTAATGAATCCAGGAGCTGGTTTTTTGAAAGGATCAACAAAATTGATAGACCGCTAGCAACACTAATAAAGAAAAAAAGAGAGAAGAATCAAATAGATGCAATAAAAAATGATAAAGGAGATATCACCACTGATCCCACAGAAATACAAACTACCATCAGAGAATACTACAAACACCTCTACGCAAATAAACTAGAAAATCTAGAAGAAATGGATAAATTTCTGGACACATACACTCTCCCAAGACTAAACCAGGAAGAAGTTGAATCTCTGAATAGACCAATAACAGGAGCTGAAATTGTGGCAATAATCAATAGCTTACCAACCAAAAAGAGTCCAGGACCAGATGGATTCACAGCCGAAGTCTACCAGAGGTACAAGGAGGAACTGGTACCATTCCTTCTGAAACTATTCCAATCAATAGAAAAAGAGGGAATCCTCCCTAACTCATTTTATGAGGCCAGCATCATCCTGATACCAAAGCCTGGCAGAGACACAACAAAAAAAGGGAATTTTAGACCAATATCCTTGATGAACATTGATGCAAACATCCTCAATAAAATACTGGCAAACCAAATCCAGCAGCACATCAAAAAGCTTATCCACCATGATCAAGTGGGCTTCATCCCTGGGATGCAAGGCTGGTTCAATATACGCAAATCTATAAGTGTAATCCAGCATATAAACAGAACCAAAGACAAAAACTACATGATTATCTCAATAGGTGCAGAAAAGGCCTTTGACAAAATTCAACAAGACTTCATGCTAAAAACTCTCAATAAATTAGGTATTGATGGGACGTATTTCAAAATAATAAGAGCTATCTATGACAAACCCACAGCCAATATCATACTGAATGGGCAAAAACTGGAAGCATTCCCTTTGAAAACTGGCACAAGACAGGGATGCCCTCTCTCACCACTCCTATTCAACATAGTGTTGGAAGTTCTGGCCAGGGCAATTAGGCAGGAGAAGGAAATAAAGGGTATTCAATTAGGAAAAGAGGAAGTCAAATTGTCCCTGTTTGCAGACGACATGACTGTATATCTAGAAAACCCCATTGTCTCAGCCCAAAATCTCCTTAAGCTGATAAGCAACTTCAGCAAAGTCTCAGGATACAAAATCAATGTACAAAAATCACAAGCATTCATATACACCAACAACAGACAAACAGACAGCCAAATCATGAGTGAACTCCCATTCACAATAGCTTCAAAGAGAATAAAATACCTAGGAATCCAACGTACAAGGGATGTGAAGGACCTCTTCAAGGAGAACTATAAACCACTGCTCAAGGAAATAAAAGAGGATACAAACAAATGGAATAACATTCCATGCTCATGGGTAGGAAGAATCAATATCGTGAAAATGGCCATACTGCCCAAGATAATTTACAGATTCAATGGCATCCCAATCAAGCTACCAATGACTTTCTTCACAGAATTGGAAAAAACTACTTTAAAGTTCATATGGAACCAAAAAAGAGCCCGCATCGCCAAGTCAATCCTAAGGCAAAAGAACAAAGCTGGAGGCATCACACTACCTGACTTCAAACTATACTACAAGGCTACAGTAACCAAAACAGCATGGTACTGGTACCAAAACAGAGATATAGATCAATGGAACAGAACAGAGCCCTCAGAAATAACGCCGCATATCTACAACTATCTGATCTTTGACAAACCTGAGAAAAACAAGCAATGGGGAAAGGATTCCCTATTTAATAAATGGTGCTGGGAAAACTGGCTAGCCATATGTAGAAAGCTGCAACTGGATCCCTTCCTGACACCTTATACAAAAATCAATTCAAGATGGATTAAAGACTTAAATGTTAGACCTAAAACCATAAAAACCCTAGAAGAAAACCTAGGCATTACCATTCAGGACATAGGCATGGGCAAAGACTTCATGTCTAAAACACCAAAAGCAATGGCAACAAAAGCCAAAATTGACAAATGGGATCTAATTAAACTAAAGAGCTTCTGCACAGCAAAAGAAACTACCATCAGAGTGAACAGGCAACCTACAAAATGGGAGAAAATTTTCGCAACCTACTCATCTGACAAAGGGCTAATATCCAGAATCTACAATGAACTCCAACAAATTTACAAGAAAAAAACAAACAACCCCATCAAAAAGTGGGCAAAGGACATGAACAGACACTTCTCAAAAGAAGACATTTATGCAGCCAAAAAACACATGAAAAAATGCTCACCATCACTGGCCATCAGAGAAATGCAAATCAAAACCACTATGAGATATCATCTCACACCAGTTAGAATGGCAATCATTAAAAAGGAAACAACAGGTGCTGGAGAGGATGTGGAGAAATAGGAACACTTTTACACTGTTGGTGGGACTGTAAACTAGTTCCACCATTGTGGAAGTCAGTGTGGCGATTCCTCGAGGATCTAGAACTAGAAATACCATTTGACCCAGCCATCCCATTACTGGGTATATACCCAAAGGACTATAAATCATGCTGCTATAAAGACACATGCACACGTATGTTTATTGCGGCATTATTCACAATAGCAAAGACTTGGAACCAACCCAGATGTCCAACAATGATAGACTGGATTAAGAAAATGTGGCACATATACACCATGGAATACTATGCAGCCATAAAAAATGATGAGTTCATGTCCTTTGTAGGGACATGGATGAAATTGGAAATCATCATTCTCAGTAAACTATCGCAAGAACAAAAAACCAAACACCGCATATTCTCACTCATAGGTGGGAATTGAACAATGAGAACACATGGACACAGGAAGGGGAACATCACACTCTGGGGAGTGTTGTGGGGTGGGGGGAGGGGGGAGGGATAGCATTGGGAGATATACCTAATGCTAGATGATGAGTTAGTGGGTGCAGCGCACCAGCATGGCACATGTATACATACGTAACTAACCTGCACATTGTGCACATGTACCCTAAAAGTATAATAATAATAAATTAATTAATTAAAAAATAATAAAATAAAATTAAAATAAAATAAAATAAAATAAAATGAATTAATGCAGGAAAAAAAAAAAAGTCCATCCTGTCCAACTTTCTCAATTTAAGGAAGTAAACTGAAGAGCCCATCCCCTTAGGGAGTTCATCCAGTCTTATGGCTTTGAAGTCAGCTCTACTTTGCTGACACCTACCTTTGTCATTTTAGTCGATGTCGCCACTGAACTACACACATTTATTCAACTGCCCACTAAGCTACCTCACTTGACTATCTAATAAGTATCTAAAATCTATTGTGTCCGAAAGGGATCTTCTGATTCCCCTCACCACCAACTTCTCCTCCAATTTTCCCCATCTCAGTAACTGAACCATCACACGTTCAGTTGCTCAACCAAAACTTAGAAATCAACTCTTGACTACTCATCTCCTGCCTTCCACATAGAATCCACACTTAAGTTCTTTAGCTCTGTCTGCAAAGTACATTGCCAAAGCTGACCCAGGCTCCATCTAGATGGCTGCTATGGCTTCTTACCCAGACAACAGCTCAGAAAGGTCCCCATTTCCTCTTCTGCCTCTATGCAGTAGCCACAGTCATGAGGCCATCAATCCCCAGACCTAGAACACTCTACAGACTTAATGCCACGATTAAAGTGAAATCCTAACTCTTTATGCTGTCCTAAAAGATCAAGGCCGCTTCTACCTCTCTAGCCTGACATCTACCACTATCTCTTTTCTGGCTACATTTCAACATTTCATACTGACTGTCTCCAACACACTAAACTCATTTCCACCCCTAAGCCAATGCTTCCCCACCTCCATACCTGGAATGCACACAGATACTTCACCATTCACATCTCAACTCAAATAACATCTTCAAAAGCTTCCCAGACCTCACAATCTACAGAAGCATCCCCTGATGAGAAGCTGGTGGTGAGGGGAATCAGGAGTTCCCTTTTGGCCACAATAAGTTTAGATATTTACTAGGTATTCAAGTGAATAGCTAATTCGCTTATCATAGACCCCATTTTACTGACTCTACAGTACTTATCACTAACTAAAATTATCTTGTAAAGTTTTTTACTTATTTATTATATATGCTAATAAGATTCATTCATTCATTTATTCATTCATTCATTCCTGCTGTGCCTATCAGAAGCATTAGCCCAAATAAGAATTGTGATCCTTTCTTATTTCACTTGAAAGCATTCATCTCCAGGTGCCTGGTACTACTGGGTAAAAAGTACCCAAATCCATTTAAAAAAAAAAGGTCTATTTTGATCCTTTTGTAATTCCTAAGTGTGATGATAACTTATGTGACAACATGTGATGATAAATATCACATGTGATAACTCACATGTGAGTGTGGAAACCCAAACTTTTTTACAATATCAGCACATTACTGTGTGATGTTTAAAAATAAAGGTCAATTTCAACTGTCCTATTAATTTTACAAGATTCCAAATCTTCTTCCTCAACCTTTTTACATCAGCACATTACCTGTCTGATGTTTAAAAATAAAAGTCAATTTCAACGGTCCTATTAATTTTACAAGTCTTCAAATTATGCTTCTAAAGAACTGAAAAATTCAAATACTGACCTGCCTCATTATCATGAAATTTCTATTTGATACAACATCAACTTATCAATTTAGAGGTATGATGTTGATTTTGAGATTGCACTGCCTCTCACTAAAATAATACACTTTTCAATAAGGATCAGGTCAATATAAAAAGTGTTAACTTTTAATGATTAGATTGGGATCTGTAATACCTTGTCTTTGGGGTACTTAGCCAATAATTACTTACATAATATACTAGCTAAATGCACCAATTTAAACATTTTTAATTCCTTACTTTTCTTTTTTAGAATTTTAAAGTGTTCAGACACTGCTACCAAAAAAAAATCACAATAGTTTTTTTATCTGGATGTTACACATTATAAATGATCTCACAGTAAATCATTAATCACTGGGATGTACATTTTATAAGGACAGAGATTTTTATCCATTTTGTTTATTGTATCCCCCAGCACCTATCCCTGGCACATTATCAGCTTTACAAAAATCTGTTGTTAAATACCTGCAAGCTCCTGTTTTATCTTACGGAGATCACCACATTATCCCAAGTTTAGAAGGTGCTGCCAATATGTGTAATCTCTTCTTGCTATTGCTTGATGTCATTAAAATATTAAGCATGAGCTGAACAGCAATTCTAAATCACAAGTTCTTGACTTTCAAGCTATATAGTGATATGTGGCAAATCAGCGGCAAGAGATCAACATAGATTTTTGCATAATGTGTGATCAACATAGATTCTCTTATGTTGTGCTGAGAAGGCAAGACTCAATATGGAGTCTGGATACATGGACTGCTCTAGGGCTAGGGAGAAAGCCACCGATGGAAGACCATCTATGCATCTCTGAATACAGACTGCCAGAGTATCAAATTTTATACTGACTTCAAGGTGAATGTTAAATAGCCCTACAGGGCTGATAACAAAAGTCGGCATAATAAAGTAGTCAGAAGCAACAATTGTGAATCACAGAAAAGCAGCTCAGTTTTGGTGTGCTGCAAGTAATTAATACTAATGAAAATTAAAAGTCAAGTTTATGAACAATTTAATAAAGATTATTCCTAAAACATTACTCTTGCCCTCACATTTCTAGGAAAAAAACAGTAGAGATACAACTAGTTTGCTGGGAACTACATATAACACAGTGAACACAAGTGAGAATGTGTGTCATATGAATGCCACCTATCATATCAAAGTAGGCTGACACTGCAGATCTGAAGCAAGCAGCTCTCTAACACCTAATAAATCCTAAATACAAATCCCTGTTCCTACCTCAACCAAGTAACCTCTGGTATTTACAACTTCTTTCTTAATATGAAAATAAGAATAATCCCTGTCAAGGTTTGTAAATAATGAAATTTATAAAGAAAAAGAAAAACAAACAAACATACACTTCTGATCCTTTGATCAACATGGTCTGCTTACCTGGACAACTGGATGAGGTGGAGCAGATTCAGAACCCACTGGGAGAACTCCAATACAAGGCAAGAAGACAAGTAAACAGGCCATTATTTAATGTAAAGAAACTGGAACCATCACACATTGATGGTGAGAATGTAAAATGGTACAGTCACTTTGAAAACAGCTCCTCAAAATGTTAGGCACAGTTATCCTATGACCCAGCAATTCCACTACCAGGTATACACACAAAAGAACTGAAAACTTAAGCTTCTACACAAATGTTCACAGTGGCATTATTCATAATTGCGAAAATGTGAAAACAACCCAAATGTCCATCAACAGACAGACAAATAAAATGTGGTATATCCATATAATGGAATGTTTGGCAATAATAAGAAATGCATGATGATATGCAAAGATAGACAAACCTTGAAAACATGCTAATGAAAGAAGTCAGACACAAAAGACCGCATGTCGTATGATTCCCACTCATACAAAATGTCTGAAATAGGCAAATCTATAGAGACAGAAAGTAGATGAGTGGTTGCTTAAGGCTGAGGGGCTTGGGAAAAATGGGGAGTGACTGCTAATAGGTGCAAAGTTTCTTTTGGTGATGGAAATGTTACAGATTAGACAGTGGTGATAGCTGCACAACTGTGAATACATTAAAACCATTGAACTGTACACTTTAAATGGGTAAGTCCTATGGTATGTGAATTATATCTTGATAAAGCTATTAAAATCTATTGTGTATTATCTTAAAATAATTACAGCTTTCAACCATCAAATGATATGTCTTATCAAGATGAAGTATGGATATGTTGTCACCCCAACAGCTACAATCCATGTAGTTCACGAAGTCCTGTCACAGCGCCCAGTCCCCATGACCAAGAGTCTTCCCCAGGGCATTTCTTCCCAGAGAAGATGCTCTCTCTTCCTAGGATCACAGGTGGAGCTGGTTTCAATTGGGGCTGCTTCTGTTACAAGAAAGAATGGGCCAACACTCAAAGAAAAGCAGAATGAGAGAGGGAATGGGGCAGTGGGATAAGGAGGGAGGGGGAAAGAGGAAGGGGAGAAAGGAGGAGACACAGAGAAGAAGAGCACAGTATTTATTGTTGGAGCATCTGCATCCAGCCATGCCGGCTAGTTTAAAGTGGGTTTCTGTAATTTGCCTTTAGGGGAGTCTTAATATGTTATTTCACAACAAACTCTTTCCTCATTTAACTGATGAACTTTCTAAGGATCTATACACAAGTAAAACGAAATCCTGGGCCTTTTTTGTTTAACAATAAGACATATGAAACATTGGAAAGAGCACATATAGCTTAGTGGTTAAATGAAGTCAGACAGACTTAGATTCAAATGTGAGTCCTAGGCTTACCTAAGTGACCTTGGGTACACACTATCTAACTTCCCCAAAACTTAGTTGCCTCTTCTATAAAATGGGAGCCCTAGGTTTGGTTTCCTTACACACAGGCCACTGTCCGGATTAAATGAGATAACCCATGGCAGGCTCTAAATACAGTACCTGGCATATGAAAACACAAATATATGACCCACCATTATTAGTGGTAAACTCATGATTTATCACAGATATATTTAGAACATAGAAAAGTTTTGTTTTAAAGCAAAGATAATATGAATAAGACTAGTAGTTAAGACCTGGAGAAAGCTGTACCATGCTTCACAAAAAATACTTCTCATTCATTTGAAGATCATTATTTTTAAGATATGTTAAAAACTAAACTTAGCAATGGTAAATACAACAGCCAGAACCAAAAATGCTAATTCATAAAATCAATTCCGGTTCTCATCTAACCTTGTCCAATACATACTTTAGTCAGAGTTACTTCTGCTTAGCCTTCAGTCTGCAATCACTTTTGAAAACCACTCCCCACTTGCAAATAAGACAGCTTTAGATAACTATTTAGATTGCTAAGCTTTGTGTTCTTCTATGACACTGAATTTTATTGCATCCACATGAGAGAATTCCCTCCATTCATTTACTGCCTGTAGATATCAATAACTTGGCTCAGACATAAGTTTTCCCCAAAAGTGACCCTGTGATCACCCAGCTGAGTTTATTCATTCATTCAACAAAGATTTAGTGAGACCCTACTATGTGCCAGGTCCTGTACTAGGTACTAGAGATGCAGAGAATAAAACAGATACCTCTTCTCTCTGTTCTCATGAGGACCTGTTGCCTCCTCATCAGAACATTAACCACACTGATTTCTGATTTCCTAATTACTTCTCTGTAACCCCTGCAGAGACTCTAAGCAAACCTGAGGTCAGGGACCATAGCAAATCTGATTTTTATTGTATCACATTATTTTGAATAATAAGTCATGGAAAAAAATTGAAATAGAATGAGTTGTCTGCACAGTATAGCCACAATATAGCTATTTGCATGGTCAGAGACTCATGCAGAGCAAACTAGGAAGTGTGTAGAGAGACATAGGCTTTACAGGTCACTGAGACTCCCATCAGTGCTGAATATAGCCTGCCACTGATGTCCTGGCTACATTTAGAGTTTGATCCAAATTATATGATACAGGCCGGGCGCGGTGGCTCACGCCTGTAATCCCAGTACTTTGGGAGGCTGAAGTGGGCGGATCACAAGGTCAGGAGATCGAGACCATCCTGGCTAACACGGTGAAACCCCGTCTCTACTAAAAAAATACAAAAAATTAGCCAGGTGCGGTGGCGGGTGCCTGTAGTCCCAGCTACTCAGAAGGCTGAGGCAGGAGAATGGCGTGAACCTGGGAGGCGGAGTTTGCAGTGAACTGAGATCGCACCACCGCACTCCAGCCTGGGCGATAGAGTGAGACTCCGTCTCAAAAAAAAAAAAAAAAGAAAAAAAACAAGTTATATGATATAGATGTAAAATTATATGATATAGATATAAAATATACATTTATTTTTATAAATACATAAATCAGATTATCTTTTCATTGAAAATATGTCTATATAAGGTAAGGAAGAATAAAACTCCCCATAGATTAGCTAATATAGAATTTCTTAGGTGAAACGCACCAATTCCAGAAAAAGCGTGAACTACTACAACTCACCGAATATGAATTTAAATAGCCCTATGACTAACTGTTAAGAAAACTGAATTTGTAATTTAGAATCTCATGGAAAACAATCTTTAGGCCAGCCGGGCGCAGTGGCTCACACCTGCAATCCCAGCACTTTGGGAGGCTGAGGCAGGTGGATCACTTGAGGTCCAGAGTTCGAGACCAGCCTGACCAACATAGTGAAACCCCGTCTCTACTCAAAAGACAAAAAATTAGCTGGGTGTGGTGACACACACCTGTAATCCCAGCTACTGAGGCTGAGGCAGGAGAATCACTTGAACCCAGGAGGCAGAGGTTGCAGTGAGCCAAAGTTGTGCCATTGCACTCCAGCCTGGGCAACAAGAGCAAAACTCCACCTCAAAAAAAAAAAAAAAAAAAAAATCGCTAGGACCAGATAGTTTTACTGGAGAATTCTATCAAATGTTTAAAAAAGAATTAACACTGGTTTTATACAATCCTTCCCAGAAAACAGAAGAGGAAAGAATACAGCTCACTTCAATAAAGGGAGTGTTCTAGACTTAAAGAGACTAAAGAGACATGAGAACTAAATGCAACCTGTAATTCTGAACTAGATCCTGTTGCTAAACAGAATTTGATGAGATAACTGGTAAAACTTGAATAAAGTCAAAGATGTGATTATGGAAATGTATTAATTTTCTCATTTTGATGGTCATTTTGATATTACACAGCAGAATGTCCTTTTTGTAGGAAAATACCACAAAATATTCAGAAGCGATGGGTCACCAAGTCAGCAACTTACTCTCAAATGGTTCAGGAAAAAGCAAATGTTCTCGGAATTGTACTCATAACCTTCCTGTAAATTTAATATTGTTTTAAAACAAAAAAAATTACTTCTTAAAAATATAGAAGGCTATCTTTATGATCTCAGGATATAGAAGAATTTCCTAACCTAGGTATAAAAATATTGCAAATCATGAATGTTATAAATTCAGTAACATGAAAATTAAGAACTTTATAAATGGAACATTATTCAGCTGTTCAAAAGGAAAGAAATTCTGGTTTTTATGAGTCACATAACATACATCATATGTGGCAACATGGGTGAACCCTTAAGACATATACTAACTCAAATATGCCTCTCACAAAAAGACAAACACTGTACATTTCCACTTATATGAGGTATCTAGAACAGTCAAATTCATAGAAACAAAAGGCCAGCGGCTGGGCCTGGGGGAAAATAGGGAGTTGTTTAATTAATATATGGTTTCAGTTCTGTAAGATGAAAAAGTCCTGGAGATCTACTACTCAACATTGTGAATACACTTATCACTACTGAACTGTGCACTTAAAGATGGTTAAGATGGTAAATTTCATGTTTATTACCACATACATATATATATTTGTTGACAACACTATGAAGAAAGAAAGGAAATAACACAATCTAGCAGAAGTCACTCCTCTCTGGGATGGGATCTAAAAAGGGCACACAGGGAACTTAAAAAATTATTTTCCTTAAGTTTGAGTACAAGTGGCTTACATCATCCTCTAAAAGGATACCTCTTGCAAATCTAATTTTTAAAATCAACTCCCCAGGAAAGGGAAGATGTACCAGTACAAAGAGCTCTAAAAATAAATAAAGAACTAAAAGAGAGGGAAGGGAAAAGGAAAGAACCAGGAATTCTCCCAATATTATTAACTTTAAAGTCTATTTTCTAAATAATAAAGGATCAATTTCTGTACAACAACTTAAAGTTATAAGTGGTACTGATCAAATTAGACGTAATTTTACATAAACTACCAAATATCTTTTTAAAATATGGAGCCAAATAATATC
The DNA here is from genome assembly GCF_000001405.40 of Homo sapiens. Classification (NCBI taxonomy): domain Eukaryota; kingdom Metazoa; phylum Chordata; class Mammalia; order Primates; family Hominidae; genus Homo; species Homo sapiens. The sequence goes on along the minus strand of NW_017852931.1, from coordinate 134,442 downwards.
AAACCCTCAGCCTCCCTATATTACTCACCAAAACAGGAGGAGTCAGACAGGACAGCGGCAGTTCTCGGTGGTCTGACCGAGGGGAAGCAGAAAGATGTGCTGAGGGCCAGCGTTCTGCCTGGAGAAAGATGGAAGCTGGCGGCTACACAAAATACAGCTTGTTCAGAGGCCTCCCACTCCTGACTGCTTTCCCTCTAAGAAAAAAAAATGGTAAGGCTCAAAAATATATGCACATAGTTCCTTAGGGGGAAAAAATTAAATGTCTAATTTTTCTTCTCAATAGCTTTAAGACATGCAAATCAAATTCTGAATTTTCTGCTATTCAACTGGCTATATCAGCTGGGACTCAGGTCAGATACAGATGGGTCACTGATGCTGATTGAAAATCACCTATATTTTACTGTTATCTTTATTCACAATGCTTTCAGGAAAAAAACAAGTTTGATTTAAATTTTTCTCATCATTCTACTCAAATGACCACAGGCTCTTTATTCTATCAAACGAAATTCTTACTCTGAAAAATACAACAGAATCCTTTAAAGATAAAATGTGCAACCTCCAAATAGAATCTTGAGTCCTGCCCCATACCCTGAACTCCAGACTCACATTTTCAATGGTCTCCACATTTCTACTTCAGAGTATAGCAAGCATCTGAAACTTAACACAGTCGAAAGGAAAATCTTTCATATTCACCCTTTCCCATATTCCACAGCCACTTCTCTTCCAGGCAGGTGCAAAAAGGCTGTCACATTTACCTTCCACTAAGCTGTTAACATTTAAACTGTCCATGGATGGCAAAGCTAAAAGAGCACTGACTGTAACACTCCTTCTGGGGCCACGGGGCCCACACAGAGTTTTGCTCCTGCCGGCACCCAAAAGCACTCAACCCGGCTCCTATGCTCACTTACCTGTGTGTTCCCTCCCACGGGGGGTTGAGCACAGGGGGTTCCAGTTAGTGGGGTCTGCCCCTACCAGCACCTAAGTGGCCGGCTACTTCCGGCACCCACATCTCAGTTCCCACCAGCAAAGGGGTCAGGGAAATTATCCTGCTTCACTACCTCAGCCAGGTGACCAAATTAACATCAACAATGATCAGTCACACTGAAAGCACATACCCTTTGTATGATGTGATGAAAACGACACTTCATCTTTGTGGTCTTCCTCCCAAACACCCATAAGACCAGACACATCATAAGAAATACATTTGATAAATCCCACTTGAGGGACATTCTACAAAATGCATGACCAGTAGTCCTCAAAGCTGACAAGGTTAACAAAAAAGAAAGGAAAGTCTGAGAAACTGCCACAGTCTAAAGGAAGCTAAGGAGACACAACGACTAAATGTAATATGGTAACCTACATAAGATACAGGAACACAAAAAGGACCTTGTTATAAACTGCATGTTTGTGGCCCGCCCAGAATCTTCATATGTTGAAGCTTTAACCCCGAATGTAATGGTATTTGGAGATAGGGCATTTGGGAGGTAATCAGGATTCAATAAAGTCCTGAGGGCAGGGCCTTGGCCTGAAGGGATTAGTGCCCTTATAAAGAGACACAGAGACCTTGTTCTTTCTCTCTTTCAGCAAGAACACACCTAGGAAAGGGGACTGTGCCCCTCTGCAAGCCAGGAAGAGAGTCCTCACTGGAACCCAATCATGCTGGCACCCAGATCTCAGAGTTCCAGCCTCCAGATCTGTGAAAAAATAAATTTCTGTTGTTTAATCCACACAGTCTATGGTATTTTGTTACGGCAGCTAACTAATACAGACCTTAAGTAAAAACTAAAGAAATCAATCAAGTATAGAATTTAGTCAATAATAATGTATCACAAGTTGCGACAAATGACAATACTAATATAACACGTTAACAACAGCAAAAACTGGATGTAAGTTATTTGGGAAGTCTCTCTACTATTTTCACAACTTTCTGTAAATTTAAAACTTTTCTAAAATACAACGTGTATTTCTAAAAATCCGATGGCTTCCTATGATATTTTTATTATAACCAAAGGCCTCCCAATCTCTTTCACTCATCATCTAATACTTACACCTTGCTCACTCTGGTCTACTATGTTCACCTTTACAAGGGTTACAAAGTGTGAGTTACGCAAGTGTACACATTTGTCAAAATTGATCAAACTACACACTTCAGGTCTATGCATTTCACCATATATGTTATAATTCAATTACAATTATTTTAAAATATATGATTGCAAAATGAATACTCTGATGACCTAAGAAATACCCTTGAATTTGGTGGCCGCAAACACTAACATTTCTTTTGCTCTGGAATCTGCAATTTGGCATGGTTCAGCATGGATAACTCATTGCTTCTCTATTTGCCATCAGCCAGGGACTGGTATTATCTAAAGGCTCACTAACTCATATATCAGATGATGGATGCTGGCTGTCACCTGAGACTTTGGTGGGGCCTGGAGGTTCAAACACCTATACAAGGCATCTTTTTATGCCCTGAGGTTCCTCACAATATGGTGGCTGTATTACAGAAACTTTATATTCAGTGTGACTCTAATTTTGTTTCAATATACACACGCATTCTAAAAAAATTAACAAAAGTTTTCTCTGGAGTGAAGGAAAATGAGTGATTTTTAAACTTTCAGTTATATGTTTTTATTTCATAAATTTTATACAATAAAATGTATTACCTTCTCAATCAGATGAAAAAAATTCAGTTCCCTATTAGGGTACATAATACATTAGTGAAAACACAAATGAAATTGGAAATGCAGAAGTATCAAATACATTTATATGTTATAAAAAAAAAGAATCCACTCATAAACAGTAAAAACATTATGAAATACTTCACTCCACCTTACTTTTTTTTTTTTTTTTTCCTGAGACGGAGTTTCACTATTGTTGCCCAGGCTGGAGTGCAATGGCATGATCTCAGCTCACTGCAACCTCCGCTTCCCGGGTTCAGGCGATTCTCCTGCCTCAGCCTCCTGAGTAGCTGGGATTACAGGCGTGTGCCACCACGCCCAGTAAATTTTTGCAATTTTAGTAGAGACAGGGTTTCACCATGTCGGTCAGGTTGGTCTTGAACTCTTGACCTCAGGTGATCCTCCTGCCCCAGCCTCCCAAAGTGCTGGGATTATAGGCATGAGCCATTGCGCCCAACCCACCTTACTTTTTAAGTTACAGATGAACTGAACATCAGCACATCAGAAACTAATAAAAAATACAAATATGTTCAATGATACTGGTGTCTTCTAAATTGCATATCTGGCCCTTTTTCATGGCACAGGTCTCCCTTAGTCCAATTCCTTCCTCAAAACCTTCTCTCCATATATTCCTTTAATCATAACCACCTACTAAACATTACCCTAGAAATAAAATCATCTGGAAAGCAAGGCCTACAAAGGCAAACCTCAGATGCTAGATACTTCCTATCTTAAAGCATGGTGTAACCTCACTTAATAATAGATTCTATATTTTTCTTAAGATTTAAGGCCTAATGAACAAATACTATGGCTACCTCAAGGTCACTCTGGACTTCTCAGTAATGATTAAACAATCCAGGAGTCTATGGCAAGATCTTTTGCTCCTTTTCCTTCCCCGGCCTCAGGCTTATTGCAAAACACTCCCTCCTTTCTGCTACCTGGCCCTGCAAGGCATATTCTTACATTCCACACAGACCATTAATTTCTATCATCTCATAAATTCTACACTTACTCTAGTAAAAAGTTAACTGTTTTTCTTACACTAAAGTTCTTTTCTTCATCTGACATCAAATAACTACTTTTATAATTTCCTAATTTTTCAAAACACTGTTAATTTGCTCATACCAAATTAATAAACTGATGTTATATTTTTGCACTTTTCATTTCCTGATGTGTCTTTTTCCTGTTAACTCACACTATCTGATTACAACAAATTCATAAGCTTTCTCTCAACCTGGACTATTTACATTATAAAAATGTTCTATGTTCTATAAAATGCTCAACTTTAAAATGATAGCTAAATGATTTTATTCATCCAATTTTACAATGTGAGTTTTCAGTTATTCCAAGAACTTCATCAACTAGAAAGTCAATTCTTAGGTGCGTCAAAGAAACAATTTATTATCGGTATGAAAAGTTAAGGCTTGAGTGGTATTAATCAAATATTCCCAAGACTTGCTCAAATAGAAAACAACTGAAAATATACTCATGTGTTGCTTAATGATGGGGATACATTCTTAAAAATGCATCATTAGGCAATTCCGTTTCTGTGTGGACATCACAGTGTACTTACGTAAATCTGGACAATCTAGCCTACGACACACGCAGGCTAGATGGTACACATGCAGGCTAGATGGTACAGTCTGTTACTCCTAGGTTACAGACGTATACAGCAGCTTACTGTACTGAATACTGTAGTAACTAACACAATAGTATGTGTGTATCTAAACTTGGAAAAGGTACAGTAAAGATACAGCATAAAAGATAAAAAATAGCATAGCTATACAGGGCACTCACCATGAATGAAGACTGCAGGACTAAAAGTTGTTCTGGGTGAGTGAGTGGTGAGTGAGTGCTAAGGTCTAAGACATTAGTGTACACTACTGTAGACTTTATAAACACTCTACATTTAGGCTACACTAAATTTATTTTTAAAAAGTTCTTCTTTCTTCAGTAATAAATTAACCTTGGCTTACTGTAGTTTTTTTACTTTATAAACATTTTAACTCTTCTGTAATTGCACTTAGCTTAAAACACATATTGTACAGCTGTACAAAAGTATTCTTTCTTTATATCCTAATTCTATAAGCTGTTTTCTATTTACTTTTAATTTTAAAACTTTTTGTTAAAAACTAAGACACAAACAGGCCGGGCATGGTGGCTCACACCTGTAATCCCAGCACTTTGGGAGGCCGAGGCACGCAGATTGCCTGATGTCAGGAGTTTGAGACCAGTCTGGCCAACATGGTGAAACCCCGCCTTTATTAAAAACACACAAAAAATTAGCTGGATGTGGTGGCGTGTGCCTGTAATCCCAGCTAGTCGGGAGGCTGAGGCAGGGGAGTTGCTTGAACCAAGAAGGTGAAGGTTGCAGTGAGCCGAGATCTGTGCCACTGCACTCCAGCCTGGGCGACAGAGAGAGACTCTCATCTCAAAAAAAAAAAACCTAAGACACAAACACACCCATTAGCCTAGGCCTACACAGGGTCCAGATCATTTATATCACTATCTTCCACCTCTAATCTTGTCCCACTGAAAGGTTTTCAGGGGCTATAACATGCATGTAGCTGTCATCTGCTATTATGACAGTGCCATCTTCTGGAATATTTCCTGAATATTGTAGTGTAATTGCACTTAGCCTGCCTCAGGCTGTTCCATAGTTAACTTTTCTTTAGTCAACAGGAGCACGCTCTAAAACAATGATAAAATGTATAGAAACTACACAAACCAGTAATGTATTTAACATTATCAAGTATTATGTACTGTACATAATTGTATATGTTAGACTTTTACAGGACTGGTTGCACAGTAGGTTTGTTTACACCAGCATCACCACAAAAACATGAGTAATGTGTTGCCCTAAGACACTATGAATACTGCAGCTTCACTAGGCAACGGGAATTTTTCAGTTCCCTTATAATCTATGGGACCAGCATCATATATGGGGTCTAATGACCTCACTGGCACTATGCAGTACATGACTGTACTACACAAATTAGGGCTATACGTGGCTGTACAAATTTATAGTAGTCCCAAGGTACCAACTCAAGACCTTTGACTAAATAAAGAAGGATGTCAAAAATTTTTAAGTCCTGTCTCCTTCTCTTGATTCTCCTGCTTATTTCAGTACTGAAAAAGAACTTTCTCTGGTTGCTGATATGTTTAAATGAGTTCATTACTATCAAATCACTTTTAAAAACTTATACACATTATATAAATTAAAAGGTGTTATTAGCACAGTCAAGAAAATATTTCGGCATGGGACGGAGGGTAAGCCTATGGCAGACGTGGGGTTGGGAGAAGGGAAAGTAAGAGGGGGAAGAGAAAGACAGAATGTGAATATATGCTTGTCTCCCTAAAAGAAATGTAAATATATACGCCTATCTCCCTTGCCCCTCATCAGCAAAATGTTTGCATTTGCTGATACATTGTCAGCAGCCTATTTAATCAGGAGTGTGATATGCTAAAAGGTCATACACTGCATGTCAGTGTGGAAAACAAAGAGGATCCTCCACAGTGCTGAGAAGATGAAAAACTCTAAATTCTGATCAATTTATTAATAAACAGAGAATAGTGTTTTCTTCAAATACACGATTAATTTCATTACCAATACTTTATTTGCATGATACACATTATAACTGCTGTTGAAGGTAGGTGGGGATAGGTACTTTACTATTTAACTGGAAGTTATGACAGCAATATGAGATTTCAACAGAAGGCAGAATTATTTTACACTCCTTCCACATACTTTATTTTATTTTAAACAGTAAAGCACACGGCAACCTGTACCCTAATGTCAGGTTTCCAGCTTGCTGCTAGGAAAAGTCGTCTGGACAAGGGGGAATCCTATATTATAAATGAAATCCCTGAAGATTAAACAACAGGAGCACATTCTAGCTAAGGACCTTGAACCAGTATCCCGTGTAAAGTGCAAGTATGCTTGAAATAATTGTAAGCAAAATTTCCAAAGTCAACTAGCTTTAGCCTGAGGCTACAGCAATCACCTAACTCTACCCCCACACACCCCATCAACAACTTCCTTAAATCTTATCCTCAGTTCTCACAATAAAATACTTCCAAACTTTCTTTGCTGAATAAAAATGGCGCTGCTTTTCCCATCACAATACTGTTGATTTCTCAGTAACCGTTAGGCCCTTTCACCATCAGACTCGTTGGCCTCATTTAAATGCCACCCTTCCATAGACACTGCCAAGTGCTTTTTTGAGGGTTGGGCCAGGAGGTAAAAGTGGCTGCTTCTATCTACAAGGATGCAACTTTCTCAGCTAGAATCCTGGGAATAAATCCCTCTGACTTTTCTTCATAACCTCTCTGCCCTCCTCGAAACTGTTGCCTCTGTGTCCCTTAAACCACACTCCAATGCAAACTGTCCCCAAAGTGCAGCAGCACTTAGGCCTCTCTGTGCCCCCTCGCACCCATCAACGCCATCGCTAATGCACCGTTCTCACCTAGACCCATGCATCAGCCTCTCCAGTGGTCGCTCAGAGCCACGCTCCGGGCAGGCACCACCACGCAGGCCTCCGCGAAGCACAGCCTTCCGCGCCCCGTCTACACCCCAGCCCGTGCGCGCCCGTGCGCACCAAAGGCAGCTCCGGGACCCGACTGCTGAGTCCCAGCCCCGCTGCGGCGGAGGGCAGGGACCAGCACGCACACCCTCAAGTCTGTATGAAGACCTTCCCCGGGGGCTGTCGCCGGCACCAACGCCCGGCCCACCCCGGCCCCGGCGGCGGATGAAGGTCTTGGGGCGCAAGCCGCAGAAGGAGGGAGGAGGCACTTCCGAGCGAGGGCTCTCCCGGGAAAAAACAAAGTTGTCTTCGCCTCCCTGTTCAACTCTCAGTGAACAGTATTTTTACCCAAATTACAAACTGCCAAACCCTTAAGTCTTGAGCTTTCAAGGAGAGTTAGGAACCCTCCTATGGCATTGTCTTCTAAAAATCTGCTGCACAAAGTTGATGTCTGCATCAACTTTGGAGCTCAAATGGATTACTTTTATGAAGTTTGGGGCAAATGGATTATATACACATAGGAACCCCTCCCCCAACACACAGAAGGTACGTGGACACGCAGAATTCCCGGCGGCGGGAGGAGGGCACCGAGAGACCGGCCCCAATCCCCACACCTCTCCCAGGCCCCCCTGCTCTGGCAGTACCGCGGCCGCAAAGGGCGGCGAAGGCGCGATGACCGACGCCCGGGTGCCTCGGCCTACCTACCTGGTCGAGTGGCAGGTGCACTGGGTTGCTGAGGGGCCGCAGCAAGGTGGAGCCCGTGGTACTGATGATACTGGAAGGCGACTGAAAGGCTCAGACTAGAGACTGCTCTCAACTTTGCGCCCTGGCCGCCGCCCGGCTCGCCGCGAGTGACAGCTCCCCTGCCTCTGACTGCCAGCAACTTCTAACGCCCGCTCCGCACCTGGCGCTCGCTGGCGGCAGACGGTCTTAGGGAACAATTGTGGCGTGGATCGCCGACGCGGCAGCCAATCAGAGAGCGCCGGCCGCACCGCGCCCCTCCCCCCTGCCGAGGATGCGGCACGAGGAGGAAGCGCGGTGAGGGCTGTAGCCAGAGGGGGCCTCGCGGGCGTGGTGGGACGCGTTCTGAAGATGGGAGATTAGTAGGGCGTCTTTGCCCTCCTCGCCCCTCCATTTCTCCTCCCTGAAATGTCGCGGCAATCCACCTCTGTCTAGGAGGGACGGAAGACAACCTAGAGGCGCGGGGTGGTCCCCCCAAGAAAGGGGAGAACTAAGGGACGTCCCAAGCATCGCTGGGGACATTGGGGAACAAGCTTGGGCCTGGGAAGAGGAGGGCGGCAAACCAAACCTAGCTGAAAAGCCCCTTTGTCTTTGAAACTGCTGTGTAAAAGCCCAAAGTTGAGAACAGTCACATGGTCTGACCCTTTCAGTCGCCCTCCAGTCACACCTGGGCCTTCCAGGCGGTGGGAGGTGGGCCTGGGTTGGACGCCTGTGGTCTCAGGGAGACCGACTCACCTTTTCTGTGTTAAAGTTTAGTTCTTTGGTAGCCAGCCACCCTCATTGAAGGTCCCGCCTTCCTCCTAGGAGAAAAAGGCAGTTTTTGTTTGTTTGTTTTGAGACGGAGTCTCGCTCTGTTCCCCAGGCTGGAGTGCAGTGGGAAGATCTCGGCTCACTGCAACCTCCGCCTCACGGGTTCAAGCAATTATCTGCCACAGCCTTCCGAGTAGCTGGGATTACAAGCGCCCACCACCACGCCCGGCTAATTTTTGTATTTTTAGTAGAGACGGGGTTTCACCATCTTGGCCAGGCTGAGTCTTGAACTGCTGACCTCGTGATCCACCCGCTTCGGCCTCCCAAAGTGCTGGGATTACAGGTGTGAGCCACCGGGCCCGGCCAGAAACGGCAGTTTCCTAAGCATCCCTTTACCCCTTGAGCACAGCCACCCTCAGACTTTTGAATTCTGCGTGTCCACATACTTTCTGTGTGTTGGGGGAGGGCTTCCTATGTATATATAATCCATTTGCCCCAAACTTCATTAAAGTAATCCATTTGAGCTCCAAAGTTGATGCAAACATCAACTTTGTGCAGCAGATTTTTAGAAGACAATGCCATAGGAGGGTTCCTAACTCTCCTTGAAAGCTCAAGACTTAAGGGTTTCGCAATTTGTAATTTGGGTAAAAATACTGTTCACTGAGAGTTTAACTGCATGTTATAATACTTTTGGTAGAATAGCTCACTTAATCCTCACAATTACAGTGTGAGATAGATACTATTACACACCCTCTTTCAAAGAAATTGAGGCACAGAAAAGTTATGTAATTTGCCTAAGAACACAAACTAAGTTGATCGGAATCCAAGTAATCTACCTCCAGAGCTGACCTTACCACTAGGCCTTTGTCTTCCTCACACTTAAATCCATTCCAGAAATTCCCATCAGCTAGCAGTTATACCATTTGCTTTATGACTAGTCTGGAATCTTGAAAAATAAGACAGCACGGATAAGAATACACCCTCTTTGCTAAATCGGCCCGTGAGCTTTCGTTTCTCTGAAAAGGAGGCAGTTGAGCTAATCAGTGCAGTCCCTTCCTGCCTAAAATTGATTGGTCACTGTAATCTTAGATTCTCAACTGAAACTGAATAGAGGTTGGAAAGAAGAATTAGAAAAAAAACCTGGACCTTCATTCAACCTGGAGAAGTGTTCCAGTGGGAATTATAATCAATTAGAGAGCAACCCGTTCTGTTCAACTCGGTGTTTATTAAAGAATATTAATCCAAAAATCTAGATTTCTCTATTAATACAATATTAGAAAAAAAAAATTTCCTTTCCTTCACTTTGGAAACTTGCAGAGGAAACATACAGGTGGCTGAGCATACAAACTGATGGAAAAATTGAAATACCATTTTAAAACCATTAAAATATGTTGGGAACATACTGCAACCTAGAGTAAGCAGCATGGAGATACAATCCCTGCGCACCACCACGCCCGGCTAACTTTTGTACTTTTTGTAGAACAAATAATGTCTACAAAAGGAGTTTCCTTAGGCTGAATTTTTATTTTAGTCAGACATGACAGAACATAGCCTATTATTTGGGCCTACTTCACCTAAAAGCATTAACAGAGTTTTGCATTTACAGAAATAAATAGGATAACAACTAGTTTTGAACTTTTCCTTCTTAAATGCTGAAATATACCGTGGTTAGATTATTTTACTTTTAGCTGTCAGTATCTATTTTGAGCTTTTACAAACTACATAGTAGGAAAGGATTTCAAAAGTACAAGCAGTAATTATATAAAGATTTCATGGGTGAAAGTTAAGCAAATGAATGCATAACTTATTTGGAATACAGTATTACTTTGTAGCACATTTAAAATTATTACTCTGACAATTTTGAAAATGTTGCTTATTATTTCTTCAGTTTTACTCAAATATATGATAAAGTCAATAGTCTATTACACACGCACAGCATCTTTGCACATGGACAAATTACGCATACTCTACAGATACAAATAAGCTGAATAAGAATGACAAGTGTAGAAAGGGAAATATGCAGCCTTTTCAATCTTGTATTTGTAAAAAACATAGTCACTATGTTCCTAAATGATAATTCTTAATGTATGTAACATGGATAGACATTAGAAGAAAAATAAGAGATATAAATAAGAGACGTCAGCAAACACCCTCCTTTTTATATTGCTGTTAACAGCCCATGCCCCACTGTGAGCTTGCAGGGCCCTGGCTGACCCTGTAACACACCATCATGGTCTCTGCCTTCTCCAACTTTGCAGAAACTGACCCAGCACCCTTGCCAGTCTATCCAGAGAAGATGCCCTCACTTATCTCAGCTCATGGTTGGAGGAGAGGAGCCTCCACTTCCTCAGTTCACAGAACCATTTTCATCTTGGTTCCATTGCTGCCTCTTAATCACCTTTTTGCCAATTATACTGCACTCCCTTCTTTCTCTTCAGTTCATCCACTGGACTTAGCTCTCAGGGAAGATGAGGGCCGAGGCAAGAGTGATGACTGATGCAGAAAGATAAATATTCCTCAAGGGAGAACACCTGCATGAGCACAGGAATGAGTTGGAGGAGTCTATGCAAATATTTTCTTTTCAGCATAATATTTAAATTTAGGTATCACATGTTCTCATTCATATGTAGGAACTCAGAAAGTAAATCTCATGGAGACAGAGAGTAAAACGTGGTTACCTAAGGTTGGGAAGGGAAGAGGGGGATGAAGAGAAGTTGGTTAAGGGGCACAAAAATACAGAAGGAATAAGTTTTAGTCTTCAATAGTGCAGTAGGGAAATTATAGTTAACAATAATTTATTTTGTATTTCAAAATAGCTAAAAAAGAAGAATTATAATATTAATATTCCACACACACATAAAAGATAAATGTTTGAGGTGATGGATATTCCCGTTACCCTGATTTCTTCATTATACCTCCTATATAGCTATCAAAATATCACATGTACCCCCAAAATATGTACAGATATTTGATAATAAAATCTTTTTTTAAAAATTAAATTTAGGTGTTATAAATAAACTTGAGTCTAACCACTGATTATTAAGAAACAACATAAATTTAGTATCTATAAATATGTAGTTAAATAATATTTTACTAAATTTTCTACAACTACTTCTATTTTAATGGCAGTGATTTCAGAGTTAGAAATAGTAACCAGGACTCTTATGACTCATATCTGCATTCTACCGTAGTATCTACTCTAAACAGCATATACTGAGAAAGAATACCATCTATCTGGAAGTGTATTACTAGCAATTCATAATCCTTAAGAAGGCAGATATTAGTTAAGAACCATAAAGTCTTTCTCTCTCTTGAGAATAGTTGAGTTTGATCTCTTAGACCAGTGTCGATTACATTTATAACAATTTCATTGCCAGAGAGATGGCTCCATCTTCTTTAATATTTGAAGTGAAAAATGATCACCAGTGAAATGAACAATTGTATAAATGTGCTCATAACCTGCAAAAGAATTTTTTTTAAATTCCTCTTATAGCTTTCAAAAAGTGAAAGTGTAAGCAATATTACATGCTAAAGGATCTCATTTTTTTGCCTCCTACTATGTCATACTGTAAAAATGTGACTAATAGTATTAATAAACAGCATCTGTTTAAATAAACTTTATACCGGAAGCAACGTTGTTATATATATACTGCATGTACTAAGAAAATCTGAGATGTCACTAGCTTTAAAGAGTGCTCTAACTTAGCTGACCGGCAAATGTCCATCTATATATTCAACTAAAAGAAGTAATAACACAATTACATTAATAGTAAATTTAGTTAACAGTTTTTGAAAAATACTAATTAGATAATTGACCCTTAGTGAAGATATTTTAATTAAAAGTAATTTAAATTTTACCACTAAAAATAAATGACTCATTTGCTGTAATGATTTAAACTTACAAATAGTATTTTTCTCCTTATTTCAATGCCCATTTTGTACTATTTAAACATAAAGGTATCTGCTGCCCTTTGAAAGGAAAAAGATCATAATGAGCACAGGGTTTACATATACTAGAGAACATTGACCAACATACATTTAGGATCTCACCAGCAGATTTCTGTGCACATCCAGAGACAGTGGTGTTTGTTCTGATATCTGCTTATACCAGTTATGCTTTTGATAATAGTTATGTAAACTTAAAAATTAGCACATAATCCATGAATTATGAGGATGAAAAGAGAGATGTTTCTAATGAAACTGAATGCATTGGAAAGACTGAATGAATGCAAGACATTTAAAAACATGTTTATTTGGTGTGGACAAGATCATTCTCTAAGTTTGGAGAAAAAAATATGAAAAACAAAAAACATTCTCTTCTAAATACAGGTTATTTGAAAAAAATTAGCTAGTTATTTATCTTAAAAAAATGGAGACTGGAAATCATAGAATTTAGTTGCATAAAAGAGAAACCTAAGCCACTACAAAAAGATGATGGGGAACTAAAATCTGCCTAATCTAAGTAATGGCTGTGGCTATGCATCCCAAGATTGTAAATAAATATATTTTCTATGTATAAAATTAAAATAAAATGTTTAAGATGTATGTGTGTGTTTACTTTTAATTTTTCCCTTCAGCCTGATTTTTCTGTTAATTAACTATCCACCCTTAACACACAGTTTCTACCATAACATAAACATGCCTACAGTTTGATAACAAAACTGTACATTTCTGGGTTTTTCTCATCATCATACCACAGGAGAGTAATAGTACAGGTCTTATTCTGCAAAAAAGAGAAAAAAAGTCATATCAGAGAGACAATATGATGTGCAAAAATAGGATGTGCATGAAGTTCTTAGGTAACTGTGGATAGTGAAATGCGGTTAGAATAAATATGTGAAAAGCTACAGGAGAAGAAGTTCTATGAGTGAATAAGAACTTTATTATATAGAATTTGATTGTTGGCACAGAGATTTTTTTTGTAGACAAAATAAGCAACTAATTATTTTTTGAGTATGTGGCAAAGAGAGGAAGAGGGGTTGGAGAAAGAGCTATAGAGTTGTACTGTGTACAAATTGTGTATTAGGAAGTTGGACTGACAGTGGAAATTAAAGTGGTGTGGAACGTACATATCTAAGTCAGGCAGGTCAGTTAGGAGGATATTTCAGTGAATGGCCAGCATGAGGTGAAGCTGGCATTAGGAGTAGCAATGCTGCTGGTAAGGCAAGAAAAATGAAGACTGAGCAGTACCCACTGGGTTTAATGTAGCTGTCAGGAAACTAAGAACAGAGAGGTACTCAGTGACTGAGTAGAGATCATTGCAGGGAATGGAAAGAACAGATGGAGTTAGATTTTGAGAAGGAAAAAAAGTCAAGCTTTGCTGAATTGCTGGATGTTGAAACTTTGAGGAAAAAAAAAAGATGTTAAATATTTGTGATTAGGGAATGAAGATATCACGGAAGATCAAGATAGGTTTGGCAAGGAAACCTAAGAGGTAGCAAAACTGACGTTGGGGTTGGATGCTAAGAGATCAAATAATACGAGGACTCAAAATCACCCTTTGCTTTTGGTAATGTGAAAATATGGATTGAAGAATGAATGAAATCAGAGGAAATGGAAAAATCAAGTGTCAACAACTTACTTTAAAAGTTTGGCTATAAAGGAAATAGATACAGCAGTAAGTGGGGAGAAACATGGGGTCCAGGGAGAATTTTATATCAGAGCATGTTGAATTTTTATAGGAAGACTCAAGTTGAGAACAAGAAACTAAGGTACAAACTAGAAAGGATTACAGATGAATGGAGCCCCTGAGAGTTGATGGAATGGAACCCAGAGCTGGTGTCGAAGGACTGGCCTATGGAAAAAGGGATATTTTCTGCATTATCAGGAGGGTAGAAGGAGAGAATGGGAACATGGAGGTAGATTTGTTGACATGGCACTGGAAAATGAGGAGAATGCCATTTGAAAGCTTCTGTTTTCTCAATGAAGTAAAGGATATTGCCACCTCTGAAGAGTAGCGGGGGGAAGTATTGGAGATTTGGAGAAGGTAGGAAGGATTTACATATATGAATACCTAGGGTTGCAAGAGTGAGATCCCAAATGGAGCTAGTGAACACTAATTTTTAGTACTATCAAGATGATTGGAAGATTTTCTCCAGCAACCCTCTGCTGACTGGATACAGGTAATAGGAATGTGTGTGGTTGAGTGCATTCAAGGTTAGAGTTTTATGGGTAGGTGGGGAAAAAAAGCAGAGGAAGTCAATAGAGGTGATGATATTTGCAAAAGGGTGATCGCGATAGGGAATTATAGAAAGTAAATCAGTCAAAGAATGATAACAAGGGGCAGGGGGCTAGTAAATAGAACATTGTGGGGTTAATGGATCAGAATTCATAATGAGGGTGAAAAATTGTTGCTGCAACAGTACTCAACATGTGAGCTGAAATGATAGGAAGCTGTGATTTTAATGGTTTTAAAATCATCATTTTTTAATAGTTTTAATTCAGGATTTCAGAGATGGTTTTTTAATGGTTTAATAATGTTTTTTTAATGGTTTAATAATGGTTTTTTAATGGTTTTAATTCAGGATTTCAGAGATGGTGCCATTTCTAGTGATGACACAGCCCAAGACTTGACTATGGGAGATGGGTGGATATAGTACAATTGTAAAGAGGAAAATTGAAAATGAGGTGGTCTAGGAATGGAGAGACAAAAATGTTAAGGCATCTTCATGGTTGTTGAAGTCATCTGAAATGATGGCAAGAGTTTGGGTGGGAAAAGAAGGCTGCACTCTGGGGATACCTAGATTGTTGACAAAGGGATCAATGAATAAAGGCATGTCCACAGAATTTTGATTGTTAAAGGGGAGAAGAAGCTTATACAAATGAATGTGTAAGTTTCACAAAAGCAAGGTTCATTTTATTTTTTAAATTCCATTTTATTTTGTTATTTTTTCATTTCAAGGGAAAAGGGATACCTAGTATCTGACAATAACAGTTGGGGATGAGAACTTGGGGAGGGGGGTAACATCTAAGACAAGTGGGATATGAGAAAAAGAACACAAGCCAATCTTCAGAAGACCTCAGGGGAAATGTTCTTAGAAACAATCTGGCTTTCAGGCAAGAAGATGGTGAGAAGTTTCATTGAAGAAGAAGAAGATGCTGAAGATTTTAAGGATGTAGGGACAGTTACTCATTGAAGAGTAAGAGTTACTTGCTCAAGACGAGAGAGCTAGTAAGCAGATTGGTCAGAATTTAAACTCAAGTGTGTGTGACTCCCAAGCTGGAGCATGTTGCTTACCAGAGAGAGAAAATTCACCCAGATAAGTGAATTGGATATTGAATGTGAGGAAACACATTTTCAAAATGATTTCATTCATCTCTTTTATCCTTGACAATTTCAAGGACATTAGGACTGTCATATTGGCATTAGATCAGAAAATGTAACAGAGAACAGAGAATAACTATGCAGTTTCAGAAAAGAGTTTTTAGAAACTCCACTTAACTCCAAAAACCCAATGTAACTATAACAACTCAGGTGAGCCTTGTTGAGCTGGCAGAAATGTTGTATCTATTGAGACTGAAATGCTATTTTAGAGCTTATGAAGCACTTTTGCCAGCAGATATAAATCCTGTTACCCTCTGATCCATAATCTACTTTTCTTAGTGATCCACATTGTCTTTGTTCTCCTAAAGTAACATCTAAGAAAAGCATTTTCCCTGGCTTTCCAAGCATGTGGCTGCCTATTGTTTTATCTGCTCAGTACCTTCATGGCTTTTTCTTGAAACTCCACTGCTCTTAGGCCAGGCGCAGTGGCTCACGCCTGTAATCCCAGCACTTTGAGAGGCTGAGGTGGGTGAATCACGAGGTCAGGAGTTCGAGACCATCCTGCCAACATGGTGAAACTCCGTCTCTACTAAAATACAAAAAGCTAGCCGATGTGGTGGTGCACGCCTGTAGTCCGAGCTACTCAGGAGGCTGAGGCAGGGGAGTCACTTGAACCTGGGAGACAGAGGTTGCAGTGAGCCGAGATCACACCACTGCACTCCAGCCTGGCAACAGAGCAAGACGCTGTCTCAAAAAAAAAAAAAAAAAAAAAAACAAAACAAAAAACTCCTCTGCTCCTAATCATATAATGTGTGAAGCAGAAAGAGCCACAAGAAAATGTAACCCTGGCCACCTTTGATTGATTCAGGGCTGGACACCTGACCTAAGTTGAACCAGTTGGAGCCCTCCAGGGATTTCAGAACTGCTTGGATGCTGGATCTAATATGTAAAGCTTGGACACTGTCACTATCATCTCTTCTGCCATGGGAGACCAAAGAAGTGAAGGAAGGTGATCTGCAGGACAAGAAAGGTAAAAAATATACATAAATGTGTTTCAGTGATGCTGCTGCTATTTAGAAAGCAGAGACAAACATGTAGAATAAAACCATTATGTCTTCCTATGCCAATTGTTCCTAACATCCATCTGCATAGGAATGCAGAGTTCTGTGAGACACTCCAGTATCTTTGTATCTTTTTTTTTTTTTTTTTTTTTTTGAGACGGAGTCTCGCTCTGTCGCCCAGGCTGGAATGCAGTGGCACAATCTCAGCTCACCGCAAGCTCCGCCTCCCGGGTTCAAGCCATTCTCCTGCCTCAGCCTCCCGAGTAGCTGGGACTACAGGCGCCCGCCACCACGCCCAGCTAATTTTTTGTATTTTTAGTAGAGACGGGGTTTCACTGTGTTAGCCAGGATGGTCTCGATCTCCTGATCTCGTGATCCACCCGCCTCTGCCTCCCAAAGTGCTGAGATTACAGGCGTGAGCCACCGTGCCCGGCCAGTATCTTTGTATCTTTATACCAACTCTGCCTTCCCTAATTCACCACAGCAACTCTACCTTGGAATTTTCTATCTAAGCAAACAAACAAAATACTAGGTATTCAAGAAGTTGTTACAGCTATAAGTTATTTAAGAAGCACTTCTGAATAATTTTTGATGCTGAAAGCATTTCTGTCTGAGCAGATACTGTGAAAGTACCTGTCCCAACTGCTACCTTTTGAGTAACAATAATCATAGTGTTTTTTGTAAGGTAATGAAGTTCTAAGCACTAGGCTATGTATATTACAGGCATCGAATTCAGTCTTCAAACAGTATTTATAAGAAAACTGAAGCTCACGGAAGTCAAGTGGGATGGATAGATATTCCCCTACCTGGGTCCACCGTCAAGAAAGGACTCACCCCAGCTTCAGAGGGAATTTGTCAGCAAGCGATGTTCAGCTGTGGGTCCCTTCAGAAATAGCCTCAGATGCAGGCCAGGCATGGTGGCTCATGCCTGTAATCCCAGGACTTTGGGAGGCCGAGGTGGGCAGATCACTTGAGGTCAGGAGTTTGAGACCAGCCTGACCAATATGCTGAAACCCCGTCTCTACTAAAAATACAAAAATTAGCCTGGTGTGGGCACCTGTAATCCCAGCTGCTCAGGAGGCAAAGGCATGAGAATCACTTGAACCCAGGAGCCAGAGGTTGCATTGAGCCGAGATTGTGCCACTGCATTCCAGCCTGGGTGACAGAGCAAGACCCTGTCTCCAAAAAAAAAAGAAAGAAAAAAGAAAAAAGAAATAGCCTCAGGTGCAAAAAGCTGCCTTCCTGAGGTCACACCCTCCCAGTTTGTATCCTGCACCCAGTAACTGACTAAGAGGTATAAAGGTCCAACATAGGATAAATCTGCGGGAACGTTGTAGCTCCAGAGCTGCAGTGGGGTAGTTGAGGCTATCAGGTACATCTCAGCTGAATTGCTCCTCTGCCCAATCCTGTTTCCTTCCCCTCCCTTCCACAGCTGCTCATCCCAACGTGCTCCCTAATAAACGCCTGAACACTAACATCTGTCTTAGAGTCTGTGTCCTGGGAAACCCAACCTACAATACCAATTGAATTATTCAAGTTCCTCCAGCCAGGAAGGACATAACTGGAACATAGATTCGTCTTTCTGACCCTACGTAAATATATTTTTCCATTGTGCTAGCCATAGTATATATAATACATCTGTACAAAATTATTGAGAAACTGAGTCATAACTATTTCATTCACAATGTCACAATGCTTGCTTTGTCAATGGAAATGCCATCTTTTTCTCAGTTATCCCAGAAAGCGAGCTCTTTGAGATTTGTAAAAAAAAACAGGCCGGGCGCAGTGGCTCACGCCTGTAATCCCAGTACTTTGGGAGGCTGAGGCGGGCAGATCACGAGGTCAGGAGATCGAGACCATCCTGGCTAACACGGTGAAACCCCGTCTCTAGTAAAAATACAAAACAAATTAGCCGGGCGTGGTGGCGGGCGCCTGTAGTCCCAGCTACTCGGGAAGCTGAGGCAGGAGAATGGCGTGAACCCGGGAGGCGGAGTTTGCAGTGAGTCGAAGTCTGGCCACTGCATTCCAGCCTGGGGACAGAGCGAGACTCTGTCTCAAAAAAAAAAAAAAAAGGATATTTGTAAAAAAAAAATTTTCCTTACTGAAAATACTCTTCTAAATATATAAAATCCAAAACTGGAAAATGAAAGACTTATTCTGTAATGATTCCCATGGACTGCAAAGACAGATTAATTCATTTGTGAAAAGAAATGGTGTTCTACATTTCCATTATTGCTGCAAAATATACCTATATATGATATAGTACATTTTAATCTCAATTCCAAATAAAAATTATACTAACAGCTTCCCACAAGTTATTGCTTTATTAATGCTGAAAAATTCAGACCCTAAAACTGATGGGAAAAAAGCAGGAAAAACCACCAACCCAGACCGTCTTCAACCCTTAGGGCTACTTAGAAATG
This sequence comes from Homo sapiens, assembly GCF_000001405.40. Lineage (NCBI taxonomy): Eukaryota > Metazoa > Chordata > Mammalia > Primates > Hominidae > Homo > Homo sapiens. The sequence continues at coordinate 114,999 of NW_017852931.1, read as the reverse complement.
ACCTCTCTGTGTACAAAGATTACAGAAAACCCTTTACCAAGAATTCGACCTAGCTAGAAAATGAAACGAAATAATTTGAAAAACTCTTCTGGGATTTTTCCCACAAAGTGATAGACATTAAAGGTTAATGGATAGGACACTTTTAATGAATCCCATTTTTTATTGTCTAATAGACCTGTAGGCAACGGAGAGCTGGCAGAAGAACCAAGGTGAATGAGCCCCGCTCTGAGTCAGGGATCCCTCCCTCATTGTGGAGGAGGCCATCCTGGCAGATTTCATCCCAATTAGAGAAAGGTTTTGCTTCCTTCATGTGGATTAGTCCACACTGCCCACTGAGAAGCACAGCTTGTCTTTAGATGTGAGTGTGTTGTTTAATTGATACGTACCTCCTAGGTGACCCTGAAGAATGAAGAGATGCATCTTCTTCAAAGGATCCTGAACTGGATTGTAAAAGCCTCCTGGGAGCTTTGCACTGACTTAAAACTGTGTTGCTGAAGCCCACTTGGAAGCATTCTGCTGAAGGCCTTCCCTTCCCACTCCCCACCAAGCAGCACTCTAATCTAGTCTCTCATTTCCTCCTCTCCCCACAGGGGTCTCTGAATAGGATCTTGTCAGAATGACCCAGACATGGGGAAATCCACAGCAGGATTCTCACCTCACTTTGCTTGCTGAGGGAGGGGAAGGAGCAGGGAAGATGGGATCTGTGGAAGAAAGGAGAGGCTTCCCTGAGTGGGAGTCCCACCATCAAGTTCTGGACGAGAGCACCCGCTGAGGATACAGCAGATGAAATAGCAAGCCATTCCATGGTGCATTTCACTGTCTTGCATTTGCTCTTTGAACTATGAAGGCATTCATACAAGTGTATAGTTTATAAAAATATGTACATAAATAAGCCGGGCGCGGTGGCTCATGTCTGTAATCCCAGCACTTTGAGAGGCCAAGGTGGGTGGATCACGAGGTTAAGCATTCGAGACCAGCCTGACCAACATGGTGAAACCTCACCTCTACTAAAAATACAAAAATTAGCCAGGCATGATGGCACGTGCCTGTAATCCCAGCTACTCAGGAGGCTGAGGCAGGAGAATCTCTTGAACCTGGGAGGCAGAGGTTGCAGTGAGCCGAGATCATGCCATTGCACTCCAGCCTGGGCAACAGAGTGTGACTCCGTCTCAAAAAAAAAAATATATATATATATACATATATATATATGTGTGAACATAAATATATAGTTTATAAAAAGAACAAAATCTTTCTAAATTCTAATCCCTTTAGTCCATCACCTCTCTCCAGTACAATTGGGTGTCACGTACCTGGGTGGTAACAATGAGGAGAGTCAAGGAAGGGAAAGTGAGGTTGTGGTGGCCTCATAGTTGCCCTGGGGCTGCAGCATCCTCTCAAGGTGGCTGATAGCCAACAGCTCCGGACAGTGGTTCCTAGTGGACAAGTGAGGATAAAGTGAGAAAAGAAATAGCTGGAAACACCTTGAAGCAGATATGAGACCATCTTCCTTTCACAAACAGATTAGAAGCCGACCCTTCCAGGGTGAGGAAGTTGGCTGCTTCTCACAGCTCCTTCTTGGGATGGACTGTTCAGCACCTGGGCCAGCATGTCAAACGTTGTACTCCTGTTGGATTTTATTTCATGGCTGGGATATCGTGTTTTGGAGTCAGTTTGTGTTTTTAAAAATTGTAATTAGTTGCTGATATTGGAAAATCATGAGGTTTCAATGGAAATTGAGATTTCTGGCTTTTATAAACCTATTAATGACAATATCAAGCCCAAATTCTAGAATGACAGCACTCAGCCAGACACCAGTAGCCACTGCTGCTGTAGAGGAGGGATCACCCTTCACAGTCCCACCTGGCCCTTCTGGTGTGTGCGCACCCCCTGACCCAGATGAAGCATGGGAGGGCACCCTGCTCTGTCACCTGAGGGAAAAGTGAGTAAATCATGCCAACTGGTTCATTTTTCCATTTTGCTTTTTTTTTTTTTCCTATTCACTTCTGTGATTTAAGGGAAAGGACTTTGCTATATGACTAAATGGGAATGTCTGGCTTGGAGCTAACACCACAGATTTCAAATACTCAGTCTCAAAACACCATACACACACACACACACACACACACACACACACATATTGCTTACAATGTAAACTAATGCAACTTTTGAGTTGCAAAATTGGCAAAAGCAGTGAGAAATTGGGAATGCAATTTCCAACACACTGAGCATCAGAGTCTAAGGGCTTTGAGATTAATATCTTAGAGCATCATCCCTCAAGTAATAAATGTACTTATTTATAAACATAGGGAGAGAAAAAGAAAAAACTATTCCCTGGTATTATTCTCCTACACATCGCTTTTCTGGTTAAGGCAAGATATCAGCAAGTTAAGTTACACAATCCAGAACAGACCCATTTCATCTTGCCAGACTTTTCTCAGTACTTTGGGGCTATACATAGTAACAAATTGAAATAAAATTGTATTGCACATGTCCCCATGAACTGCAGAATCTAAACTGTACAAATCCATGGTTTACATTCTGTGGCTATAACATATTTACAAAAATATGTGAACTTTTTCGTTATATCTATAAACAGATTTTAGAAAAGTATCTTCAGAGAGTATATTTCCTAAATGTTTTGTTTCGAATGCTTTCAAAGTGACATTTCTTTTCTTCTGTCCCCACTTCTTTGGTTAATATGTGAAATGAATTACATTTTAATTGTGTTGGTCTTTTCAGTGACATCACGTAGAACTGCTTCGCAAATATCTTCCCAGTTTTGGTCTACCTAGTAGTCAGTAGCAGAGAAGGTAGGTATTTAGAGAATAATCTGCCCTAAGTAAGTCATTGTTATTTGAAGAATTCTATATAATAAAAACAAGCACGTATATGCTGATCTTATTTAGCTTTCTAGCTTCTTGGGGCATTTCCTTAACTATTTCACTCACAATCTAGAAGCTCAGCAAACAAATTCAGAAAGGGGGAGCTGGCAGGGTGGATGACCCCAGACCAAGGGGTTAACCTAGCTCCATTTTGCAGCTGAGGGTCACCATACATATGCTGCTAGCATAGGACATAATCAGAAACAAAAAGCAGCCAGGTCAACCTCTAAAAGAAGTGACTCAGATACATGGTAAAGAGACACCCAGCAAAAGTCACCTGCCCACAGTGTCATCCCCTTAGTCCTTCTCCCCAAGCCAGAGCACCAGACCCTTGACTTCACTTTCTGCTTTTCTGGAAACAGCAATGGGCTCAGACTCAGAACACTGAATTTTAATCCAGATCCACCACCTGTTTTATGACTTTGTCTGTATTTCCAGTCTCCAGTTTTGCTGTCTGTTCAATGAGGATAAAAATGATAATCCTGAAAAAATATTGTAATAATCCATTTATTCACTGAACAGATATTATTGAATTCTTACTGAGTGCCAGGGACTGTTCCAGGTGCTGGAAATACAGCAATGGGGAAAAAACTAAGTTCTTGTGCTCCTGTTGCTTATTTTCTAGGAAAGAGATTATAGTAACACAGTATAACATAATGTGATGTTGTTGTACAAGAAATGTAATAAGGTAGTGATAACCAATAGGAAGAAAAAGACAAAGTAGAGGAAAAGGACAGAGATTGACAAACAGGTGATTTTTAGAGATGACTGATCAAAGACAAAACTGCATGTGTGAGAAGAGAATGCCAGGAGCCCAGCTGTGAGCCTGATGCTGGGGAGGCTTGCTGCATGAAAAGTAATTCTTCTATATGTGGCTCACCCTACTGTTAAAAGGAAAAGCCTCACCAAGTTAGAAATACTTAGTTAGAGGAATTCAGACTTTTCATTGAAGCCCCAAAAAGTTCACATAATAAGGACAAGTTCACTATTTTATAGCTGTAGTTCAAATACATAATAGAAAACACTAGTGCAAAGATATAGAATCAACCTAAGTACCCATTGACCAAAGAGTCAATAAAAAAAATGTGGTATATATACACCGTGGAATACTACTCACCATTAAAAAAAAATGATATAATGTCTTTTGCAGCAACTTTGATGGAGCTGGAAGCCATTATTCTAAGTGAAGTAACTCAGGAATGCAAAGTCAAATATCATATGTTCTCACTTATAAGTGGGAGCTAAGCTATGAGGACGCAAAGGCATAAGAATGACATAATGGACTTTAGGGACTCAGGGAGGAAGGTTGGAAGAAGAGTGAGGGATAAAAGACCACATATTGGGTACAATGTACACTGCTCGGGTGATGGCTGCAATAAAATCTCAGAAATCACCACTAAAGAACTTACCTGTGTGACCAAAAACCACCTGTACCCAAACAACGATTTAAATTTAAAAAGATTTTTTAAATCCTTCAAATCTAAAAACAAACAAAAAAAGGGAAAACACCTGTGCTAATTAATCCCAGGACTAATTAAGGACCAAAACCTTAAAACTAAGGACAAAACTGGAATAGACTAACCTTAGCAAAGCTTAAAACAAGTTTTGAAATAATCAAAGTGAGGTGCCAGGAATTTTTAAAAACTTTTTACTTTTAAATAATTCTAGATTTATAGAAAAGTCACAGACATAGTACAAAGAGTTCTCATAGTCTACCATACCACTCTGAACACACCTGATCTTGTCTGATCTCGGAACCTACGCAGGGTTTGGTCTGGTTAGCACTTGGATGAAAGAGTTCTCATATACACTTCACCCAACTTCCCTAATACTAGCATCTTGCATAATCACAGCACAGTTAATGAAATCAGAAAATTAACATTAATATAATGCTATTAACTAAACTTCAAGCCAGACTTTGTTCAAACTTCACCAGTTTTTTGCTAATCTTCTTTTCTGTTCCCACAGTGTATTCAGTTATATCTTTTTAGTCCCCTCCAATTGGCAATACCTCCTCCAATCCTCATTCTTTCCTTGTTTGCTATGACCTTAATACTTTTGATAATTGCTGATCAGTTATTTCATAGAATGGTCCTTACTTTAGATTTCTCATGATTAGACTGAGATTGATTAGACTGAGATTATGCATTTTATGTGAGAATGGCACAGAAGTGATGTTGTGCCTTTCTTAGTGCAGTATATCAGGTCATACATGCTGTCAATGTGCCTTATTACTGATATTTCTAACCTTGAACACTTGATTAAGACAGTGTGTGCAGTTTCTCCACTGTAAAATTACTATTTTTCTTTTATAATTCACCAATATTTTGTGAGAAATAATTTGAGACTACATATGCTGTTTCTCCCCAACATTAATTTTAGTATCCATTGGTGAATCTTGCCTACAGCAATTATTCTTGTGGTATTTGCCTAATAGTAATTTTGTATTTCCTCCATATCTTCTTCATATATTAATTAGAATTATTCTGTAAGGGAAAGCCTTCTCTTTTCACCCATATATGTATTTATTCAATCACTTATTTATATCCACATGGGGTCATGGATACCTGTTTTATTCTATAAGTTATAATCCACACTATTATTGAGATGGGGGAATTCCCTGATATTCCATGCAGGACATGTGGCAGAGGTGTGGCTACTGTGTTCAGCCACCGTGTGCTCAAACCCCCTATGGGAGGGGGAGCAAGCAGATGGGCAGGTGCAGGAGCCGGGGCACGTGCTGTGGGGCTCCGGTCCCATGGTAGCATCTAGGAGTGGGTGGCTGCCCAAGTGGTGTGATGTGTGTTACAGTGTGCTCTTTCAGCTTTGTCTAAAATAAAATAAAGTAAAATAAAATAAAATATAAATATACCCATGGCTAGTATTCTACAGTGACAAAGGGAATAAACCAAAAGCTTACTTTTAGAAATGCCATTAGTTCTGTGGCTTAGTGTACCTTTTAAATCAATAAAATCATATAAGAGAATCATATATTTCATATCCTCTTCAGCTTATAGGAAAAGTGGCATACTCCTTTCCTTGGCCCTTTACCTGACATCTTCAGAATGCCAGAAGTATAACTTAAGTTCTTGTTTGGCACTCATTTATGCTTCCTCTGAGCAAAGAACTCAGAGATCAGCATTTCCATAATAATTTGTCAAAGACAAAAAAAAATTAGCACCTTGACTTCAAGCGTAATTCTAAGAAAGCTTAATCTTTGCACCCCAGGGAGGAGTTGATCCTGGCACACTGGGGCTTCACCATCTCAATCTGGACATTTCACATTGCCCAAGACCTCAGTTGCACATGGAAGTCACAAAAATACTTAGGAATGTTATTGCTGTTTAGGAATGTTAAAATCTGGACTAATGGAAGGGAAAAAAGTCCAGTCCTGGGTACCATTGTGCTTGATCCAAGTAGTTGTTCCTACCCTGCATTCACAGTAGCAACAGGTATGCAGCTATAATTTACCTGGTAGTCAAGGGACAAATACATCTCTGCTAGACTGGAATGAAGTAGTTATGGAAAACACTATTACAAGTTATAACAATACAATAACAACTGCCACCACCGTTGAATGATTTCTGTGTGCTGGAGACTGTTTTAATTTTTAAAATTAATTCATCTCAATTATCACTGAGAGATAATAACAACTGCAAACACTTTGCATAGTCACTTATCTGCCAGGGGCAATTATTTGTTAACTCATTTAATTGCCACAGGAACTCTCTGGAGGCACTATACATATTCCTGTGTAAAGCATGAGGAGCATGAAGCACAGCGTGAATAAGTAATTGCCTGCAGTCTAACAATTGTTAAGTGGAGGAGCAGGCTTTGATCCCAGGCTGGTCCCAGAGTCCACACCCTCCAGTATGATGCCATCCACCTCTATGTCCATTTCAATATCACAGATTTACAAACCTGAAGCTTCCAGAGGACACGATTAAGGCCCAGAGAGAGTGGCTTGCCCAAGATCCCACAGTGAAGGTGCTGCAATTTGAGCCTGGGGTTGACAGAGCCAAAACCTGTAATCTTCATGGCTGTTGGGAAAACATCCAGGCAGACAGCTGCTGCTCTACTATCTGGGGGTGGCCCTTGAGGGTTGTCCAGAATCCACAGTTTGTCACGCAGATAGAAATATCCATTCTCTAATCACGTACAACATATGGTTAAAGACCACTGCCATCTGGCAGAATCAGAAGTCTGGTGCAGAGTATATGTGATGGTCCTTCTTTTCTTCTGTTCAGAGCAGATGCAGTAGTGAAGGTGATGGTCTTTCATGTGAATGGCTAATGGACAGTGACGGGGAGCACTCATGGGACACTCATGGGTCCTGGGCACATAGGCTGATACAGGATAGCTGGCTAATGCTTTTTTCTGTTTCCTCTACTTTAGCCCACTATGTGCAAATGTGAGAGATGGATTGATTTGCTGAAGGATAATTCAGTTCCCATAGTGAAATGGAAGAAAATATCATTGTGGGCATTTACAAGTTGCATGCATCATGCCATGTTTTGGAAGCCAAATCCAAGCTGTTTTGAATGTATTGCCCTATTATAGTCCAAGCAATATAATTAAAAGCTATGGCTAGTATGTAATTGCTAATTGTACAATAACCAGCAGTTTCTTCTGGATTTTAATATTTATTCATAATTTCCCTCACTAAATCAAATTAACCATTTTGGATAGCCAGGGGCTAATTCTGTTGTCATTATTTTTGTCCTACAAATAGACTTCTTACATTCCAGCTGGCCAACTGATATTTGAAGACAGAACTGACTCAATCGTGTTCATTTTATGCTTAGTTAAATAAAAGACACGCAACTTGGGGTTAAATATTGAGTAACTAGATCTATCAAGCCAGCCCAGCATTTCATATTCAATAAACAATGGATGAATCTATGAAGATTGATATATTCTTCATGGGATCCAAACCAGTGAGTAAGTTAGGTGAAATCCTTCTGGAATCAGTTGGACAAGATAGTAATAGAGATAGGGATAATGATTACTTACAGCTATACCTATTTTAATGGCATTCTTCCTCCATAAGATGCTGAATTTCTTAAAGACAATGTTCTTCTTTAGTTACTAATCTTCCTGAGCCAAGCACAGTGCCTAGGGAATAGGGAGTGCTTAATAAATGCTTGTTGAATGAATGAATAAATGAGGTATGTGTGATATATGTGTGTCAAATAGAGGTCGCTAATTAGCTAGAAGTGTTAGCTGTTACAGGAGACAAACTCAGACAGCAAGAAATCTTTTGAGATTTATTCTGAAAAGTATAAGATGGAAATTACATAAAATTTACTAACCATTAACTTCTCCATGTATATGTAGTTATTCATTTTTTTTCACAGAGATATTTACATGCAATAATATAACAACTTACACATAGCGTTCAGCAAGGTTTCAGTGTTGACTTGCAATGTCTTCTTATTAAAGAGGTGGGGAGAACCCTGTGCTAACTGTGACTGTTGTCTATGCTCTGATTCTATCTGAGCCCTCATCAGCCTGTGTCATTACTGATATTCTGCTATACTCTCTGCTACTCCGAGGGCTATGCCTATCCTTATTTGAAAGGATGCTTCCATTTTTATATTTACACTAATTGGAAAAACATTTCAAAAGTTATTTTGAAAACTGGACCAGATTTATCCCTGATCTCACTGACTCATTTCTCTTGTTCTAGTTAATTTGCTGCTTCACAGAGGTGTCTTTCCTTTTCAAAGTATTCTCTGCAAAATAACTGCCCTCCCTCCACTATTTTTCTTTCTCTCTTTTCCTCTTCCTCTTAATGAAAACCTTCTATGCTTTGATGCTGTGAAGATATTAAGTAGATTTTCTTGGATTTTAGTGGGAACACAATAGTTTCCCAAGAAAAATGTCTACCCCATTGCATGTAAGCATTGAGTTTATGAAAAGTGATTTGTGTCATTCAGACTTTCTACTCAGTATAGCAGTCTGTGCTTTTACTGTTGTTTTACTCTTTCCCATTCACCAAGCACAGGCTATATATACACACAATCAAAATACTATAGGTAAAATGTTAATCATTTTTGTAGTCCTCCACAATAAAATTATTTCTGATTATTTGCCTGATTTGCTTCCCTATAAAGTCCATCTTGGAAACCAAGCCCAGGATTGCTATGTGAACTGCCTTGGATTACCTTATCAGTAAGTGACAGGGCTTATTGTCTCCAAGTCAAGATTGTATTTTATTCTTCTAAAGTTTTTGTAAAATAGTTAAAAAGATTTCTCCCAGTTTAACATCAACACCTACTGATGGCAGGATTTTCTAGTGATTCCATCAAATAACTTCTCAATGGGACTTGGATTTTCTACACTTAGCCTGCATCTCTCACTAACAGGTGACCCTCAGCCATCATATGGGAAGTTTCACTCTCTGTAGAATGATGCAGAGGACATCTAAAGCATTCTTGTCCCAGAAGCCTGTGTTTGCAATCGTTTCTGTTGCTCTCCAAGCACGCTTCAATCTTTGAAATGTCTTCTTACAAGGGAGTGATCCACATACCACCATACAGTTTTAAAATTGTTCGGAAGACTGATTGCTTATTTGTGTATAGAGAGTCATTCTTTGTTTTTTGTTTTTTTGTTTGTTTCATTCCAGTCAGCTTTCAATGATCCCAGGGCTGCTCCTCAAGTTTGTGGATTATCCAGGCCACTGGTTCTGTCCTTTCCATCTTCTGTTTGAAGTATTTTGCAATTTCAGTGCATGTGACTTTGTTTGCAGTGTACCAGGGTAGAAAGGAAATAAAATAAAATGAGCCCAGTTTGCTACTTTACATAGTTCTAATATATATTTTATTTAATTCCTTGTTTATTTAGTTTTGTTGTTGAAGTTTTGTAGGGTGAAGAAGGCAGGGTAGAAGATTTGAAAATATTGATTAAAATTGTTTTGCTACTTTCTGTTATGTAAAATTATATATATTCATTGTAATTAGATACAAGAAAAGCCTAATCTCTTTTAGGTTAACCGTTTTAGTTATTTTATTTTATATGTTATAGTTGTTTTTTAGGATAAATTGGAATATGGATATTATTATCTTTTGGATAATGATACAATTTTCTATGTTAAATTCCATTAGTTACCACTTGCTGAGAATATCCAACATGCTAAACTGACTGCCCCTAGTGGTTTTACATTTTATTATTAAGCTGAGAATTAAAGCAAAGCTCAAAGACATCCTGAACAGGTGCATGGCTCCACCATACAGCTGAGCTCATGTGCTGGTTTTCACCATTATTTCTAGCATGGAATGAAGAGTTTAATGGCGAGAAGTCTCTCATTTATAATGACTAAAGCAGATGAAGAGGAAAGATGCCAGTGCCACCAGTGTTTGCTCCTCTGCAGTTCTCTTAGAAGAGCAGCCCACTTTGAATATTATATCTAGAAGACAATTTTTTAACCTAACAAATTAGGAAATATTTTAAAATCAACAATAGCATCAGAGAGGAATAAACAAAAATTTATTTTATACAAGCAGAAGTATAAACTTCGTAAACTTTTTGGCTTACCAAGCAGATGAAGAACCTTAAAAATGTTCCTCTCAGTCTTTGATCCAGTATTCCACTTTGAGGAATAATATTGGAAAAAATTAGAGATGCAACAAAATCCAAGATGATCCAGAGAGCATTATTTATAACGGTAAAGAACAAAATTGAAATAACCTGAATATTTAGCAGGAAAAAGGAAAACTATTTTGTAATTAAAGGAATCATACCATAGAATTTTAGGCCGTCATTTAACATAATGTTTTTGAAAAACTGCTAGAAACATAGGAACCTATTGAGAGGACAGAATTGAATGAGTAAAGAAGAAAATAAAATGTGTAAGAAATACGATAGCAATCACATCTAATATAAATTAGATATATGCATAGAGAGAATAGTTAGAAAATGTACTGAAAGAAAATATACTAACATATTGAACAGCATAATGAATTATTTTTGTTTTCTTCTTTGTACTTTTCTACCATTAAAAAATGTTTTAACATGAACGTATTGTCTTCATAGTAGCAGTATAACATATATAAATGCAAGTATGGATTTTAGTCAACAGAGGCTCAAAAGAAAGGTTTTGGTGTGAGAATTACTTGAGTTTGTGTCCTGCTACTACCACTTACAAGATGGGGAAACTAATCTTTTTAAGACTCAATAAAGAGATTGAGTTAGTAATCAGAAAACTTCCCACAAAGAAAAGCCTAGGATGAAGTGGCTTTACCTGTGAATTGTACCAAAATAAACCTAATAAAGAATTAACATCAATTTGTCACAGATTCTTCCAAACTATAGTAGTGAAGGGAACACTTCTTAACTCAACTTATAAGGCCAATATTTGCTTGATACCAAAACTAAAGACATCACAAGGAAAAAACTATGGACCAATTTTTTTTATTAATATAGATGTCAAAATCCTTACCTAAATACTAGGAGAGGCCAGCAGCATATAAAAAGGATTTTGCACTGCAACCAAGTGGGATTTATCCCAGAAATGCAAGCGTGTTTCAACCTATGAAAATCAATCAATTATATTAATAAAATAAAGGAAAAAACCATGATCATTTCAACAGATAGAGAAAAATCATTTGACAAAATCCAGTGCCTTTTCATGATAAAAAACATCATAAAACCAGGAATAAAGAGGAACATCCTTAATATGATAAAGGGCATTTAAGACAAACCAATAGCAATAGTGAAAGGAAACTTAAAAATTTAATAGTGAAAAGAAAGCTTCCGTCTTCCTTAAGACCAAGAACAAGAAAAGAATGTTCACTTTTTCCCGTTCTATTCAACACTGTGGTAGAGGTTCTATCCACACAATTAGGCAAGAAAATGAAAAAAAGTCATAAAGTTTGGAAAGGAAGAAGTAAAACTACTACCTCTATTTACAGATGATATGATTATATGTGGAATACCCCAAAGAACACACACACACACAAAAGAGTTAATAAACAAATTCACCAAGGATGCAAAATGCATGTCAATATACAAAAATCAACTGTATTACTATACATTAGCAATGATAATCTGAAAATAAAATTAACGAAATACTTTTATTTGTAATAGTATCAAAAATAATGAAATATTGAGGGATGAATGTAACTAAAGAAGTGAAATGCTTATACACTGAAAACTATAAAACATTGTTGAGAAAAATAAAAGAATCATAAACAGAAATATATTCCTTGTTTATGAATTAAAAAAGGAATACTGTTAAGAAGGCAAGATTTTTCAAAATTGAGATACAGATTCAATGGAAAACCTAACAATATTTCAATTACCCTTTTTTACAAAAACGGAAGGGTTGATCATAAAATTGATATGAATAAAAGGGACTCAGAATAGCAAAGATAATCTTGAAGAAGAAAAATAAAGTTGAAAGATTCACACTTCTTAATTTCAAAACTTACTACAAAGCTACACTAGTCAATCAAGTGTGGTAATGGCATAAAGATAGACATGTAGACAAATGGAATGGAATTGAGAGTTTAGAAATAAACTCATACATCTCTAGTCAACCAATTTTCAACAATGATGTAAAGACCATTCAATGGGAAAATGATAGTACTTTCAACAAATGATTCTAGGACAACTGGATATCCACAGGTAAAGAAGAATTTTTACCACTATCTCACATCATATGATGAAATTAATTTAAAAGGGATCAAATCAGGGTATTTCATGTATCCCATAATATGTACACCTACTATGTACCCACAAAAATTAAAAAAAATAGACTAAAAAATGGATCAAAAACCTAAAGGTCAGTGATAAAACTATGAAATTCTTGGAAGGAAATACAGGAGTAAGTCTTCATGATCTTGCATTAGGCAGTAGTTTCTTATACGTGACATTAAAAGCACAAGTGACTGAAGAAAAACATATTAATAAAATTTCATTAAAGTTGAAAACATTTGTTTGTCTAAGGGTACTATCAAGAAAATGAAGAAGGGCTGGGCACAGTGATGCCTGTAATCTTAGGACTTTGGGAGACCAAGGCAGGAGGATGTCTTGAGGCCAGGAGTTGAAAACAGCCTGGGCAACAAAGCAAGACCCTGTCTCTACCAAAATAAAATAAAAATAAGTTAGCTGGGCATCATGGCTCATGCCTGTAGTCCCACTTACTGGAAAGGTTGAGGCAGGAGTATCAGTTGAGCCCAGGAGTTCAAGGCTGCAGTGAGGTATGATTGTGCCACTGCACTCCAACCTGGGTGACAGAGTGGGGGATCTTGTCTCCAATAAATAAATAAGTGAATAAGAAATTGAAGAGACAATCTCCAGAATGGAAGAAAATACTTGTAATCATATATCTGATACTTTACAGCCACTAGGATGGCTATAATCAAAGAAACAGAAAATAGCATGTGTTGGTGAGGATGTGGAGACATTGGAACCCTCATACACTACTGGTGGGAATCTAAAATGATGCAGGCACTGTAGAAAATAGCTTGGAAGTTTCTCAAAATGTTAAATATAGAGTTCATATACTGCTGAACAATTCTACTCTTGGTATATATTCAAGAGAATTTAAAACATATCTACATTAAAAAAAACGTGTGCATGAATTTTCATAGCAGCATTATTTTAATGATATTATTCATGATAATCAAGAACTGGAAGCAACTCAAATGTCTAATAACTGATAAATGTATAAACAAAACGTGGTATAACCACACAATGGAATACTATCCAGTCATATAAAGGAATAAAGTATTGATACATACTACTACAACATACTGTGAAAATACTGTGCTAAATGAAAGAAGCCAATCACAAAAAGTCACCTGTTATTGATTCCCTTTATATGAAATATTCAGAACAGGCAAATCCAAAGACAGAAAGTAGGTTACTGGTTTCAAGGACTAAGTGAGTGGGAATGACTGTTAATGGATACAGGGCAGGGCTTCTTTTGGGGGTGATGAAAATGTTATGGAATTAGATAGTGGTGATGGTTGCTTAACCTTATTAATATAATTTAAAAAGCACTAAAGTTTACACATTCAAGTGGTGATTTTATGATATAAGAGTTATAACTCAATTTTTCAAAGTATTTAAAAAAACACCCAAGTCCAGAGAGCTCAGCTGCTAGATGGCCACAACAGAACTAGTCAACCCCAACTCTCCTGTTTCCCCTACCACTTCTCACCCTACCTTGCTCTATTCCTAAAGGGGCCAGAGTCCCTTGCAGCTAGATGAAAGAGAAATGATAGAAGCACAGTGTGGAAAATGAGGAAAGACATTGATTAAGTGCATTCTTCCAGATTGCAACAGGATCAAGCTGAGGGAGAGGGAGAAGACTCAATTTTAAATCAAGATTAAAATTTGATTCTTTCATGGGCTGGGCATTTAATTCTCTAATTAAAACTATCTTTTATGACTTGAAATGCGATATTTATTTCCTAAGGGGTACAGAAAAGTTAGGATATCTACTGGACTTCCCTTGTAGAGACAGGGAAAGAGCCGCACAGAGTATTTCAAAGTACAATGGGAGGCAAAGCTGAATGTGCTACTGATTTCATTCTAAGAATCATGCTTGTTCAATGTGTAAACCAAAAATAAACTTCTAAGCCTCCTGACTGACTGAACGGGCCCCCCTCTTGGCCAAGGGGACCCAAAGAAACCTGAAAACTAGTTAAAGTCATGATGGAATGAGGGTGTCAGACATGCCTCATTATACTCTTCTTTTGGAGTACAGACCCAATTGTCCAGCATATACATGAAAACAGAGATCTGCAAAAAGATATCAAATTCCAGACTGACTCTAGCAAAACATCACATGAAAAATAATGAAGGAAATCAAAAATATTTTACCCCAAAATATGTTTCTTTGCCAAATTTTAAAATGGCCTTGCAAAACCATCTTTTGTGGGGGAAAATTTACATCTGTAAAGAATCTCTATTAACATAATTAGATCTTCCACCTTTCAGGCCCTCCTAATCTTGAAGAGATTAAGAGTCTAGCACCGTTTAAAGGTCTAAATAGGAAATATTTGCCATCTATTGTCTCTAAAGACAGCCAACTATGAGACTTTATCTACATAATTAGAACCTTAGTCTCCACAACCCTTTTTCTCAACCCAGATACTCCCTTGTATTCCAGGTATTTAAATAATAACCTAACTCTTTCAATCAATTGCCAATCAGAAAAATCTTTGAGTCCACTTATGACCTGCAAGCACCCCCTCCCCCACTTCATGTTGTCTGGCACTCCAGACCAAACCAACGTATACCTCATATGTATTGACGGATGTCTTCTGTCTCCCTGAAACATACAGGAACAAGCTGTATCTCAACAAACTTTGGCACATGTTCTCAAGACCTCTTGAAACTGTGCTTTGGGACATGGTCACTCATATGTGGCTCAGGGTAAACCTCTTTAAATATCATATAGAGTTCAGCTTTTTTGTCAACAAATGTAAGAGTTACAAGTGATTAAACAGCAGTTCTTAGAGATTGTAGAGAGATCTAGAACTCCTCATGTAAAGCTAGAAAGGAATAGGGTAATATTTAATGAAGTAAAAAACCTGATGATCCAGCCGGTTCACTTCTGGGTATATATCATAGGAGCTTCTCTGTAAGGGGCTTATGCTCCACAACTGAAGATCCCTTGAGACACTTACAGTAATTTATTTCTACATTTAAACAGTAAAGATCATATATATATTTGTATATATTTGATTTTTAATTATATTTGATGTATGTATATATGTATCTCACCAAGTGGAGACTTGAGAACAGAGTTGGAAGTCAAACATAAAAGAGGATGTCACCTCTCTCCCTGGTGTGAGTGTGAAGGTCATCAATGATGGTTGTACTTTTCACTGCGCTTGGATTCAGACTCAGAATCCTTCTCAACACAAATCTCCTCCAGGTAGCCATTAACAAATGAACATCACTGAGTACAAGATAAAACTTTTCTTGCAGCCCCTGGCTTATAATTTAGTTAAGAAAACAGAACATGCATATGTTAAAAATGCAAGGCAGAATAGTTATACGTCCAATTTGGTAATACAGACTAGCATTGATTCTGGGAGAAGGCCAAGCTGAAGGCCTGAGCAGGAGAGGAAATTGTGTAAGAAAGAACAGCACTGCTCTGGGTGGATTTGTAGGAGACAAAGACAGTAGAGAGCAATACTTTCAGCAGAAATAGCTGGAGCTGTGACGAAGCTACATTTTGGGATCAGCAAGAAGATTGTTTATGAAAGGTGGAAATGGATTGAGTTTCTTTGTTCCCTTGTCTTCGAGACACTGTGGTAGACATAGAGACCTGCCCCCAGACTTCTTTCCAAAGAAAGAGTTGCTGTGGCTCCTTCACAGTTAGCCTCAGCTGTAGAAAGCCCCTTGGCCAGGCAGGAGCATAAAGGTCCAGCCATTTGGGCCTAACTTGGGACATGAGTTGGGTTATCCTCTATTTAGAGCTCCTTGCTGGAGTAGGTGAGGCTTTCTTGGTCCTATATCTGTCAGTGGGCTTCTCCTTCTGCCCAATCCTGCATCATCTCATTTCCTCTCTTCGTATGTATTGATCCCTAACAAACATCTTGCACTCCAAATTCCCTCAGTGCTTGTGTCTAGAGAACTGACCTACAATCCCCACTTTCCCGCATGACTTCCACACCAAATGGGAAGCACACTGAGAAAATGACAGGGAAACTTCTGTTGCACCATCTGAACCAGGAATTACATACTTTCTTCCCTTCATTTTTATACCTCCTATAAGATTTTGCAACATAAGAGAATATTTGCAGTGTTACTTTGTTATCAGAGAATTTTGAATTTGGATGGGGGCGGGGGGGGCAAATGTTTGGATTTCGTTTTAACTATAAATAAATAAATTACGAGGTATACAGACTGTATTTTCACAAGGCTGTTACAACTAGAATAACAGGGCATTAAAGTTCATCTATCAAACCTTTTATCTCATAGCTTCAGAAAGAAAAGGTGGGAGAGAAGACACACTGATTGAAAGTTTACCATGTAACAGCAGTGTTCTTATATTACTCATACACTACTTTAAAAATACATTTGGGGTGAAGCTGCCACTACCGAGGAACAGCAGCGGCTCTCTGGAATGACATAGTCTAATGTGGTCAACATATACAAACACATTCTGTGCACAGCTTCCATCAACCCCCTCACTGTCAGCATTGCCTCCACCCAGGAGACTGCTGGGTCTGCAGCAAATGTTTAAAGCTGAAGTAGTCCAGGCCGGGCGCGGTGGCTCATGCCTGTAATCCCGCACTTTGGGAGGCTGAGGCGGGCGGATCACCTGAGGTCAGGAGTTCGAGACCAACCTCAACATGGAGAAACAACGTCTGTACTAAAAATACAAAATTAGCCGGGCGTGGTGGTGCATGCCTGTAATCCCAGCTACTCGGGAGGCTGAGGCAGAAGAATTGCTTGAACCTGGGAGGCGGAGGTTGTGGTGACCCGAGATCGCGCCATTGCACTCCAGCCTGGGCAACAAGAGGGAAATTCCGTCTCAAAAAATAAATAAATAAATAAAGCACGCTGAAGTAGTCCTAGCAAAGAGTTATAGCCTGTAGCCACCACTCTTTGCCACAAGGGGTCAGCCTTTGCATCTACTGTAATTAAGTAAAAGCTTCCAAGAAAAAATAGAACCCTCCATTTTATGTTTATGAGTTTACTGCAATGTCTTGGTCAAATAAAGATCCATGGAACTGAAAAAACAATAAAAACAAAACAAAAACAAAAAGCACTTACCTTCCACATTTCCTAAAAATTGGTTTACTCTTATGAAATCAAATCATGAATTCTGAGAATGTTAGAACTAGAAGGGATGTTAGAGATTTGAAGAGCACCAGCTGCTTGATTTTCTGCTTTCTTTGTGATGAGCGCAACAGGAACCAAATCACATAGAACATCTCAATGATCCTTTCACAACCAGTTGAGCCAGGTATTGCCACTCCCATATTCCAGATTAGGTAACTGAGCCTTGGAGAGACTAAGTAACTCCCACTAACAAGTATTTATTAAACACAAAAGACATGTCAGCAAGTCAGTGGGCAAGCTGGCTTGACATTGAGGTCTGTCTGATGCGAAAGTTTGTGTTTGTCTGTATATGACCCTGCAGTTCTTTCTTTTACAATATCTGAGAGGCTGAATAAATTGTCCAAAGGAAGAAAGCTCCTTGAAGACTAGAAGATAGAAGTTACCACTTTGCTCTTCAACCACATCAACACCTCCTCAAATGAGTACTAAATAGAGGTGATTACCATCCTTAGTGACAGAAGGTAAGCTATATGGAGTTTATTACAAAACCAGCTTTTAAAAAAATTGAGATGTATCAAAAGAGATACAGATTTCATGGAATGTCTAATTTTCATAAAGTCAACAAGAAAGCTAAAAATTCTGAATAAATTATTTTAGTTAATGTCATTAAAATTTTCATTTCACTGCAGTTTTCCCTCAGAAATGTAACAATATTATTCTGTTGTCTTCTGACCTCTATTATTGCTGTTGAGAAGATTAATGTAAATCTAGTCATTGTATCATCATTTATCTTTAGTTGCTTCCAAGATGTTATCTATGTCATTGATATTTTGCAACCACATTACACTGTGCTGGGTGTCATTGTATTTTTTTATGTATTCTGCTCAGGAGACATTTCATATTTCACTTTATGAATCTGAACCATATAGAACATTTCAGTCATTACTTTTTGACTATAGTTTCTCCTCCATTCCTTCTATTTTCCCCTTCCAGCATTTCTGATGTATACGGGTTCTTCTCATTCTATCACCCATGTCTCTTAACATCACTTTTACAGTTTTCATTTATTACCCCTTGATACTAAAAGCTGTATAATTTTCACGTACTTATCTTTAAGCTTTAATTTTTTGCCATCTCTAATTTGCCATTTAATTGATCCATTTGTTTTCTTAATTTCAAAGACTACGTTTTTAGTTTCTACAAATTCTTTCATTGCTAAATTTATGCCTATTTGTTTTTCATAGTATGTTAATCTTTTCTTAATATACCAGTGCCTTCATTTACATCTTAACCATTTTAAACATGCTTATATTATGTTCTACTTCCGATTGCTATTCTAATTTTTTAATTTCTCAAAGTTCTAATAATGCTCTCATTCATGGTAGATCATTCCCTCATTTGTTGTATATTTTGTAAATTGAGATATGAAAATTAGTAAGGCTATATTTTTCTGTGAGAACCCACTGTGGTTTGTGTTGTGGAATCAACCCCCGTATTAGTCTGCTGGGGCTGCCATTACAAGGTACCACAGAGCAGGTGGCTTAAACACAGACGTCTATGTCTTATAATCTGAGGGCCAGAGTCTGAAATTAAGGTGTTGGCAGAGTTGTTTTCTTCTGAGGCCTCTCTCCTTGGCTTGTAGATGGCGGTCTTCTCCCTGTGCCTTCATACAATCTTTTCTCTATGTGTTGTCTGTGTCCAAATATCCTCTTACAAGGACACCAGTCATGTTGAATTAGAGCCCATCCTAACGACCTCATTTTAATTGAGCTACCTCTATAAAGACCTGATCTCCAAATAAGGTCTCATTCTGAGGTACTGGGGAGTATATGACTTCAACATATGCATTTCGATTGAGGACATAATTCTGCCTATTAACAACCTCCAAAAGCAGTTTTGCTTGTAAATCTGGGCATATCACCAGCCCAAGTGAAATCTGTATGATAGTTTCTTGGCTTGCTTGTTTCTGAATCCACAGGCAGTATAAATAACAATCCTCAAATTCCTGGAGAAGCAAGCCAATAGTTTCTGATTCCAAAGAGGGGGGCCCCCATATCCCTACCCCCTCCATTCACACATCTAGAGCTCAGAAAAAAACCTTAATGCATTCTTTTCACTTCGCTTTTTCACTGGGTGAAAGTTTTTCCTACATCATTTGGAGGTGCATATATCCACGGTCTCTTACTTTGTGTGAATAATTTTACCCCCAAAAAACTATTGGCTTTTTATACTCAGTCGTTTCTTTACTAAGTTTCATATTACATTCCATGTCTTAATTACTAAACAATTATTTTTATCATTACGTGGTTTGTAAGTTTAGACTCCTAAAACTCTGGAAAAACCCCAGCAAAGCCATTTTCTGTGGCATAATAATGTGGAAGTAAAGCAGAACTTGAGGACATACAAAAAAGGCAATTTTAATCAAATAAAAAATAGTGATCCTGTGTAAATTCTAATTACAGGATTAACTGTGACAGACTCAGTTTTGAAGTTAAAAAGCCCAAATAAATATTTCATCGATGACATTTGTAGCTAACTCAAATCTATAAATCTTAGTTCTGAAGAAGGCAGTATAATTTTATCCTCCTAACCAAGAGTGACTACTTCTAGAATAATCTTTTTCCTGATTTTTTTTAAAAAATCAAAAACGATCATGCTGGTGTTCTCTCAAGATACTGAAGTTCAGTGTGACTATGTTATCTTTTTTTTTTATACATTTAATTTTATATTCCAGGATACATGTGTAGAATGTGCAGGTTTGTTAACTAGGTAAATATGTGCCATGGTGGTTTGCTGCATCTATCAACCCATCACCTAGGTATTAAGCCCCTCATGCATTAGCTATTTATCCTGATGATCTCCCTGACAGGCCCCAGTGTGTGTTGTTCCCCTCCCTGTGACCATGGGTTCTCAATGTTCACCTCCCGCTTAGGAGTGAGAACATGCTATGTTTGGTTTTCTGTTCCTGTGTTAGTTTGCTGAGGGTAATGACTTCCAGCTTCATCCATGTTCCTGCAAAGGACATGATCTCATTCCTTTTTATAGCTGCACAGTATTCCATGGTGTATATATAGCATGTTTTCTTTATCTACCCTATCCTTGATGGCCATTTGGGTTGATTCCATGTCTTTGCTATTGTGAATAGTGCTGCAGTAAACATATGTGTGCATGTATCTTTATAATGGAATGATTTATATTCTCTTGGGTATATACCTAGTAAAGGGATTGCTGGGTCAAATGGTATTTTTGGTTCTAGATCCTTGAGGAATCACCACACTGTCTTCCAGAATGGTTGAATGAATTTACATTCCCACCAACAGTGTAAAAGTGTTCCTATTTCTCCATAGCCTCACCAGCTTCTGTGGTTTCTTGACTTTTTAATAATGGCCATTCTGACTGGCGTGAGATGGTATCTCATTGTGGTTTTGATTTACATTTCTCTAAGAGTCAGTGATGTTGAGCTTTTTTCATATGTTTGTTAGTTGCATGAATGTCTTCTTTTGAGAAGTGTCTGTTTATATCCTTTGCCCACTTTTTGATGGGGTTGTTTTTTCTTGTAAATTTGTTTAAATTCCTTGTAGATTCTGGATATTAGACCTCTGTGAGGCAGATCGATTGCAAAAATTTTTTCCCGTTCCATAGGTTTTCTGTTCACTCTGATGACAGTTTCTTTTGCTGTGCAGAAGCTCTTTAGTTTAATTAGATCCCATTTGTCAATTTTTGCTTTTCTTGCAATTGCTTTTGATGTTTTAGTCAAGAAATCTTTTCCCATGCTTATGTCCTGAATGGTATTGCCTAGATTTTCTTCTAGGGTTTTTCATGCTTTTGGGTTTTACATTTAAGTCTTTAATCCATCTCGAGTTAATTTTTGTATAAGGTGTAAGGAAGAGGTCCAGTTTCAATTTTCTGCATATGGCTAGCCATTCATTAACTAGGGAATCCTTTTCCCATTGCTTGTTTGCACCAGGTTTGTGGAAGATCAGTTGGTTGTAGATGTGCGGTCTTATTTCTGAGAGCTCTATTCTGTTCCATTTGTCTATGTGTCTGTTTTTGTACCAGCACCATGCTGTTTTGGTTACTGTAGCCTTGTAGTACAGTTTGAAGTGGGATAACAGTATGCCTTCAGCTTTGTTCTTTTTGCTTAGGATTGTCTTGGCTATACAGGCTCTTTTTTGTTCTATATGAATTTTAAAGTAGTTTTTTCTAATTCTGTGAAGAATGTCAATGGTAGTTTTACGGGAATAGCATTGAACGTATAAATTACTTTAGGCAATATGGCCATTTTTACTATATTGAGTCTTCCTATCCATGAGCATGGAACGTTTTTCCATTTGTCTGAGTCTTCTCTTATTTCCTCGAGCAGTGTTTGTAGTTCCATTTGCAGAGGTCCTTCATGTCCTCTTTGTTAGCTGTATTCCTAGGCATTTTATTCTCTTTGTAGCAATTGTGAATGGGAGTTCATTCATGATTTGGCTCTCTGCTTGTCTATTGTTGGTGTATAGGAAGGATTGTGATTTTTGCACATGGATTTTGTGTCCTGAGACTTTGCTGAAGTTGCTTATCAGTTTAAGGAGCTTTCGGACTGAGATGAGGGGGTTTTCTAGATATAAGACCGTGTTGCCTGCAAACAGAAACAATTTGACTTCCTCTCTTCCTATTTGAATACCTTTTATTTCTTTCTGTAGCCTGATTTCCCTGGCCAGAACTTGCAATACCATGTTGTGCAATACTATGTTGTGCAATACTATAGTATTGTGCCGGTTTTCAGAGGGAATGTTTCCTGCTTAACTATCTTATTTTTCTTTTGTGCACTTTACATGTGCATGAAGAGCTGAAGAGTACTTTGAAGAACGATCAATGTCTATAGTAAGAAGCATGCATGCAAAAAAAAAATTATTCTATGTGCAGCTAACCCTGCTGTTAACAGGAAAAGTAGATGTTATCTTGGAAAATCCTGGGCTGAGGAAAGAGGACACATGTTCAAACCCCATCTCTCACATTGACTAACTTGCTGCATGGCCTTTGATAAGTCACTCCCTCTGAGATTTGATTTCCTCCTCTTAAATAAAACCAGTCTCAGATGGTGGTGGATTTAAAATCAAATCATATATAGCGAATGTCTAAGAGTATATCTGGTGTACAGATTTTTCTCCTCTAGCTCAGCTCTTTAAACTTTACTCAAAATGAAAATTTTGCTCCTGATGGTTGCATATCAAATCAGTCAGTCTGGTAATTCCAGCGTCTATAGCCACCAGTCAACTAACACTGAGAATGCTGTGGCCGTTTCAGATTAAATGTAGTTTATCAGCAAAAAGCACAGATCTTCTTTGAGAATCACAGCCTAAGATCACTTTGAAGATTGCCTTTTTTCTGAAGATGTCTCACTGGCCCTGGCCACATGACTGTAGTGGGCAGAATTCCAAGATGTGTGCCTGTCTTGCACATGTACTGAGAATCCCCTCGCCTTGAGTGTGGAATGGACTATATTGGAGTATCAGTATTATGATTTAACCAATAATCAATTAGCTTTGAGTTCAAAAGCAGTATAATCCTGGATAACACTGGCATAATGAAAGGAGCCTTTGAGAGAAGGTGAAGCATCCAAGACACACTCTCCTGGGGGCCTCAGAGAAGAAAGCAAACAGCCATGGTATAAACCACCTATGGAGAGGGGCTTTGTCTAGGCTGAAAGCCTCAATTGTATCACCACAAAGAACTTAAGTCCACCAACATGAAAATGAGCTTGGAGGAAGACCCCACACTCTAGGCAAGGACGACAGTGCAGCTGACACCTTCACTGCAGCTTTGGGAGACCCTGAGCAGATGACCCAATCAAGCCAGGCCCATTCCTGACCCATAGAAACAGGAAATTAAATGAGTGTTTTTATAAGCACTGAATTTATGACAATTAGTTATTCACAATAGCAAACCACTACAGTGCCCTACCTGTGGGATCCACATGCTGCCCTCAGTGGTAACAAAGGCTCATAACACCTGCACTGTATTGGTTTCTAACGTCTGCGTGAAAGTTGCATATACCAGGATGGAATCCCTTTCATCAGATCCAGAAAATATAGGTCTGGGAAGGCCCAAAAGAGGGAAGACTCATGTTTATGTGTCTGAAATGTGAACCAAGGACTTTCTAAAAACTCTTTCATGTCCTTCATGCATATTTTGTTTGGATAAGCTTTATCACTAGACATTAGAACTGCAGTATTCAGATAAGATTTTCTTAGAACACTTGCCCAGTAAGGGCATCTCCGCCAATGAACTGACAACCAGTCTGGCTTTGAACCTCTGGAACCAATGGACTCTGATTCTAAGCAGCTTAGTAAATCTCTTTTTAGCTGGTGAAAGGTCCCCATACAACCCTCTCACTGAATGGACTGGTGGCTTGCCATTTCGTGCATTTCAGATTATAATCCTTATTTTTACTTCTGAGTAAACCCAACATAGTTAGAGATAATTGTCCCTAGTGTAATTTTTAGATTGTCATTTGTTTATATGGGAGCACAGCAGAACCACTGAGCTGCCCAGGAAGAAGAGCCCTATAGTCCCTTTCAACTCCATACTGTCAAAAAAATATTAAGTTGCGCCGAGTGTTGATTTGGTGCTATGGTTAAATATGCATAAATAGTCTTATATAGAAAAAGGAAAGTAATATTTACTGAATAGATCTAATGAGTCTTCATTTCACATACACTAATTGCTTGTAATCTTCACAAAACCCTCTAAGACAACTTTTACTTTCCCTATGGTTCAAATGAGGTCATTAAACCTCAGAAAGTTTAAATAACTTACCCTATCATATAACTAGTAGGTAATCGAGCCAGTATTCAAATACTGAGATCCCCTGGACAGAATATCCTATGTTTTTTGGTCTATTTTATCAATAGTATGCTACAGGAATGCAGCTGCCAAACAACAGTCCTTAGAACACTTTTGGTCTAAGTTTAAAGAAGGTCTCAAAATTCAAGCAGTTAAAAACTGCTGCATGACCAGTTAAAAGTGCATTCAAGCTTATCTGCCTTCCTTGAATGCTTTCTCATTAATGCCAGGAGTACATTACATTAGGGCATGACAAGATGATGTGTTAGCTTAGTGGATATTTCCTGTTAACATATTCATTACAGTTAATTACAACATCTTTATTTCTTGGCAGATTTTCTGGAAGCCAAAACAGATGGATTGTTTTTTAAAAGAATATGAAAAGCATGTCATGACAATGATTCCTGTGGTGCATTTTTTTCTTTTTAATTTTCCTAAACATAAAATAAAAATATAGATTTCACAGAGGAACACTTTCAGTGCAATACAACTTCCTTTGAACTTCACATAATAGCTTACACTTATTATCACCTAACCAGCCATCTTTGACTTTATGCAATGGGCAGTGTCCATAAGAGTTCATTAAGTGCATCAATTAAGAGACAAGAAAGAAAAATATACTTTGATATATGAATTTATGTGCACTGATGCTGACACTCTTGCTACCTCTTTGTCATTTACAGTTGACCTTGCATACTTGTAGGGAGCATAGGGCATGTCCCATTTGTACCTTTAGAGTTTCAAGAAGTACTGTATCATTAAAATTATTTAAATGATGAGCCAAGAGATCAGTGAAAGAACTGTATTGTACATTTTTAAATGGTAGTATCATTATTGTAATTGTGAAATTTATTCACAATTATTTTCTTTAAAAAATTTTTAAATTATTTTTAAAATGTTTTGTGGGCACATAGTAGACGTATATATTTATGGGGTACATAAGATGTTCTGATACAGGGATATAATGTGAAGAATGGGGTATCCATTTCCTCAAGCCTTTGTCCTTTGAGTTACAAACAATTTAATTACCTTCTTGAAATTATTTAAAAATATACAATTGAGTTATTGTTGACTATAGTCACCCATTGTGCTATCATATAGTAAGTCTTACTCATTCTTTCTATTTTTTATGTATCCATTAACCATCCCCACCTCTCCCTTAGTCCTCTACTACCCTTCCCAGCCTCTGGTAATTTCTTGCTACTCTCTATGTTCATGAGTTCAGTTTATTTGATTTATAGATCCCACAAATAAGTGAGAACATGCAATGTTCTTGTGCCTGGCTAATTTCACTTAACATAATGATCTCCAGTTCCATCCATGTTGTTACAAATGACTGGATCTCATTCTTTTTCTGTTTTTTTTTTTTGAGATGAAGTCTCGCTCTGTTGCCAAGCTGGAGTGCAGCGGTGCAATCTTGGCTCACTGCAACCTCCGCCTCCCAGGTTCAAGCCATTCTCCTGCCTCAGCCTCCCAAGTAGCTGGGACTACAGGGTGTGCCACCACGCCCAGCTAATCTCTGTATTTTTAGTAGAGACAGGGTTTCATCATGTTGGCCAGGATGGTCTCAATCTCTTGACCTCGTGATCCACCCACCTTGGCCTCCCAAAGTGCTGGGATTATAGGCATGAGCCACCATGCCGGTCTGGATCTCATTCTTTTTTATGGCTGAATAGCACTCCATTGTGTATAAGTACCACATTTTCTTTATCCATTCATCTGTTGATGGGCACTTAGGTGTCTACCGAATCTTAGCTATGGTAAACAGTGCTGCAACAAACATAGGAGTGCACATATTTCTTAAATATATTTATTTCCTTTCTTTTGGGGGTATTCCCAGCAGTGGGATCACTGGGTCATATGGTAGCTCTATTTTCAGTTTTTTTAGGAACCTCCAAACTGTTCTCTATAGTGGTTATGCTAATTTGTATTCCCACCAACTGTGTATGAGGGTTCCCTTTGCTCCACATCCTTGCCAGCATGTGTTATTGCCTGTCTTTTGGATATAATCCATTTTAACTGGAGTGAGATGATACCTCATTTTAGTTTTAATTTGCATTTCTCTGATGATCAATGATGTTCAGCAGCTTTTCATTTGCCTCTTTGCCATTTGTATGTCTTCCTTTGAGAAATGTCTCTTCAAATATTTTGCACATTTTTTTGTTTGGTTTATTAGGTTTCTTCTGTAGAGTTGTTTGAGCTTCTTATATATTCTGCTTATTATTCCCTTGTCAACAGCTTGGTTTGCAAACATTTTCTCCCATTCTGTGGGTTGTCTCTCCCTTTTGTTGATTTTATCCTTCACTGTGCAGAAGCTTTTTAACTTGATGTGATCCCATTTGTCCATGTTTGCTTTGGTTGCTTTGGTGCTTGTGGGGTATTGCTCAACAAATCTTTGCCCAGACCAATGTCCTGGGGATTTTCCCTAATGTTACCTTGTAGTAGTTTCATAGTTTGAGGCCTTAGATTTAAGCTTTTAATCTCTTTTGATTTGATTATGGCGAGAGATGGGGTTCTAGTTTCATTCTTTTGTATATGGATATCCAACTTTCCCAGCACCATTTATTGAAGAGGCTATTTTTTCTCCATAGTATGTTCTTGGCACCTTTTTAAAAAATGAGTTCACTGTAGCTATGTGGATTTGTTTCCAGGTTCTCTATTTTGTTACATTGGCCTATGTGTCTGTTTTTATGGCAGCACGATGCTGTTTTGGTTAATATTGCTGTATAGTATAATTTGAAATCAGGTGATGTGATTCCTCCAGTTTTGTTCTTTTTGCTTAGGACAGCTTCGGCTATTCTGGGTCCTTTGTGGTTACATTTAAATTTTAGGATTTTAAAAAATTTCTGTGAAGAATTTCATTGGCATTTTGATAGGGATTGCATTTGATCTGTAGATTGTTTTGGGTATTATGGATGTTTAAACAATATTGATTCTTCCAATTCATGAATTTTTCCATTTTTTGGTGTCCTCTTCAATTTCCTTTATCAGTTATTATAGTTTTCATTATAGAGATCTTTCATTTCTTTGACTGAATTAATTCCCAGGTATTTAATTTTACATGTGCCTATTGTAAATAGGATTACTTTTTAATTTCTTTTTCCACATTATTCACTGTTGTCATACAAAAATGCTATTGATTTTTGTATGTTGATTTTGTATCCTGCAACTTTGCTGAATTTGCTTATCAGTTCTAATTTCTTGTGGAGTCTAGGTTTTTTTTTCCAAATAAAAGATCATATCATCAGCAAACAAGGATAATTTGACTTCTTCCTTTTCTATTTGGATGTCCTTTATATCTTTCTTTTGTCTGATTGCTCTAGTTAGGACTTGCAATACTATGTTGAATAACAGTGGTGACAGTGGACATCTATGACATGTTCCATGTCTCAAAGGAAAGGTGTTCAGTTTTTCCCATTCAGTAAGTTATTAACTGTGGGTCTGTTGTATATGACTTTTATTATGTTGAGGTATGTTCCTATTATGCCCAGTTTTTTGAGGATTTTTATCATAAAGGGATGTTGAATTTTATCAAATGCCTTTTCGGTGTCAACTGAAATGGTCATATGGTTTTTATCCTTCATTCTGTTGATTGTATCACATTGATTGATTTGCATAGGTTGAACCATCCTTGCATCCCAGGAATAAATCCCACTTGGTCATGATGAATGATCTTTTTAATGTATTGTTGAATTCAGTTTCTTAGTATTTTTGCTAGTTGAGGATTTTTGCATCAGTATTCATTGGAGATATTGGCCTGTAGTTTTTCTTGTTTGTTTTTGTTTTTGTTTTGATGTGTCTTTGTCTGGTTTTGGTATCAGGGTAATACTGGCCTTGTAGAATAAGTTTGGAAGTGCTCCCTCCCCCTGGTATTTGAAGTAGTTTAAGTAGGATCGGTATTAGTTCTTAAATGTTTGGTAGAATTCAGCAGTGAAGGCATCGGGTCCTAGACTTTTCTTTACTGGAAGACTTTTTATTCTGGCTTCAATCTCATTACTTGTGATTGGTCTGTGTTGAGTTTGGATTTCTTCCTGGTTCAGTCTTGGAAGGTTGTATGTGTCTAGGAATTTGGCCATTTCTTCTAGATTTCCAAAGTTATTGGCATATAGTTTCTCATAGTAGCCACTAAAGATCCTTTAAATGTTGGCCGTATCAGTTATAATGTCTGCTTTTTCATTTTTGATTTTATTTATTTGGATCTGCTCTCTCTTTTTTCTTAGTCTGACTAAACATTTTTCAATTTTGTTTAACTTTTCAAAAAACCAACTTTTTGTTTCATTGATCTTTTGTATTGTTTTCTTCATTTTAATTTCATTTATTTCTGCTCTGATCTTTATTATTTATTTTATTCTCTCTAATTCTGGGTTTAATTTGCTCTCACTTTCCTAGTTCCTTAAGATGCATTGTTAGAATCAGCAAGAAAACAAAGAATCTCATCAAAAAGTGGGCTAAGGACATGAATTCTCAAAAGAAAATATACAAATGGCCAATAAACATATGAAAAAATGCTCAACATCACTAATGATCAGGGAAATGCAAAACAAAACCACAATTTGATACCACCTTACTGCTGCAAGAATGGCCATAATCAAAAAATCAAAAAATAATAGATATTGACATGGATGTGGTGATCAGGAAAAACGTTTACACCGCTGGTGGGAATGTAAACTAGTACAGCCACTATGGAAAACAGTGTAGAGATTCCTTAAACAACTAAAAGTAGAACTACCATTTGATCCAGCAATCCACTACTGGGTGAGGTAGAAGAAGTCATTATATGAAAAAGATACTTGTGCACGCATGTTTATAGTAGCACAATTCACAACTGCAAAAATATGGAAACAGCCAAAAGGCCCATCAATCAGAGAGTGAATAAATAAATTGTGATATATATATATGTATATGTATATATACATATATGTGTGTATATATAAAATGGAATACTACTCAGTCATAAAAATGAATGAAATAATGGTATTTTCAGTGACCTGGATGGGACTGGAGACCATTATTCTAAGTGAAGTAACTCAGAAACGGAAAACCAAACATTGTATGTTCTCACTGATATGTGGGAGCTAAGCTATGAGGATGCAAAGGCATAAGAATGATACAAAGAACTTTGGGGACCTGGGGGAAAGAGCGGGAGTGGGTGAGGGATAAAAGACTACACACTGCATATAGTGTATAGTGTGATGGGTGATGGGTGCACCAAAATCTCAGAAATCACCACTAAAGAACTCATTAGGTGTAACCAAGCACCACCTGTTCCCCCAAAACCTATTGAAAATTTTTTTAAAAGATGCATTGTTAGATTATTTAATTGAAGTTTTTCCAGTTTTGTGATGTTGGCACTTACAGCTATAAACTTTCTACTTAATACTGCTTTTGCTGTATCCCGTAAGTTTTGGTATGTTGTGTTTCCATTATCATTTGTTTCAATAAATTTTTCAATTTCCTTCTTAATTTTTTCACTGACCCACTGGTCATTAGAGCATATTGTTTAATTTCCATGTATGTGTACAGGTTCCAAAATTCCTCGTTATTAATTTCCAGTTTTATTCCACTGTGGTCAGAGAAGATGCTTGATATTATTTATATTTTTTTAATGTTTTAAAACTTTTTATGTGACCTAATATATGGTCTATCCTTGAGAATGATCCATGCATTGAGGAAAAGAATGCATATTTTGCAGCTCTTGAATGAAATGTTCTATAAATATCTGTTAGATCCATTTGATCTATAGTGCAGATTAAATCTGAAGTTTCTTTGTTGATTTTCTGTTTGGAAGATCTGTCCAATGCTGAAAGTAGGGTGTCGAAGTCTCCAGCTATTATGGTATTGGGACCTATCTCTGCTGTTATCTCTAATAATATCTTTTTTATATATCTGGTGCTCCTGTATTGGGTGCAGGTATATTTAAAATTGTTATATCTTCTTGCTGAATTGACCCCTTTATTATTATACAGTGACCTTCTTTATCTCTTCTTATAGTTTTTGTCTTGAAATCTACTTTGTCTAATATAAGTATAGTGACTCCTGCTCTTTCCTGTCAAAACTAGAAGGAGAGTGTCATGAAGAATTTCAAAGTATTGTGATGGAGTCTGGGAGAAAATGTATGATTAATAAATATGGGGAGGGGCTTGGCCTTAAGCCAGGAGACTTGGGTTGTATCTGATGAGTGATAGGAACATACAAAATAAAGAATATAAGAAAGATTTATTTGGAAAGGTGCATATAATGGCCTGGATGACCCAGAAGAGAAAGTTTAGTTAAAACACTGTTGTGGGCTCAGCAGCTTCTAGCTTGAAAGCATGTCTTTCATACTTAATCCGTATAACCTCTGCACAAAACCTGGAGTAACATGCAAATGCTTACATATTTACTGAGTGACTTAATATTTATTGGTAGACTTAAATGATAGCCATTGAAAAAGAACAATTTCATGCTGGGAAATCAGTTGAATTTGACAAAAGCCTGGATAAGGGTTAGGAAGTTCAGAGAAGTCACATAAGGCTATATGTTCGAAGCTCTGAAATTGGAAATCAGGAAAAACATGAGCCATTGAATAAATGAGTGAAATGGCTGTATGAATAGTAAAGGTAATGCTACCTGCTATAATGAAAACTCCCAGAACTCAAAAATATAACAATAAAAATTTAAGTGTCAACAAATGTTAACAAAATAACATCCAATAAGGATTATATGGGGAGGGGCAGTTAGAAAATGTCCAGTTCCCATGAAGCTATCCAGTGACTCAGACTGGCAGAGATTCTTCTATCTTCCACGTGTGGCTGCCAAGATCATCCTCAGCCTCCATGCAGCAGAGATCAAGAATCATGTGGGAGGTCTGATTGGCCATGCATATACCACTAACATTCTACTATTTTATCTAACACATGCAAAAGAGGCTGGCAAGGGGAATCTAGCTGAGTGGCCGGGAGGAAAAGGAAATGGTTTGTGGAACAGCCCATTCTTCTCTGTCAGGCTGGCTAAACAGGCCAGCAGATTTTCCCTACAAGAAATGCTAACAGGAGTTCTTCAGGCTGAAATGAAAGAACACCAGCAGGAACTCAAAGCCATTAGAGGAAATAAAGAACACCGGTAAAAGTAACCACATATAAGAGCCACTATTATTGCACTTTTGGTTTGCACTTTTTTCCTATATGATTTAAAGTGCAAATGCATAAAACAATAATTATAAATCCATGTTAATGAGTAGCCAATATATAACGACATAATCTGTGACAATAACAATATAGAGGGGAGGAAAGGAGATGGGGCTGGGCACAGTGGCTCATGCCTGTAATCCCAGCACTTTGGGAGGCCAAGGTGGACGGATCACGAAATCAGGAGTTCAAGACCAGCTGGCCAACATGGTGAAACGACATCTCTACTAAAAATACAAAACTTAGCCTGGGGTGATGGTGGGTGCCTGTAATCCCAGCTACTCGGGAGACTGAGGCAGGAGAATCACTTGAACCCAGGAGGCAGAGGTTGCAATGAGCTGAGATCGTGCCACTGCATTCCAGCCTGGCCAACAGAGCAAGACTCTGTCAAAAAAAAGAAGAAGAAAAAAGAAAGAAAGAAAGAAAGAAAGAGAGAGAGAGAGAGAGAGAGAGAGAAAGAAAGAAAGAAAGAAAGAAAGAAAGAAAGAAAGAAAGAAAGAAAGAAAAAAATGGATAGAAGAAGAATGTTTCTATACTATTGAAACTAAGTTGGTTATAAATTGATTTATTATTAAAACTAGGTTCTACAAGTTTTGCTACTTATGAGGCAGAAATTGGCAGAATGATCAAAAAAAAGATCCATCTACATATTGTTTGCAAAAGAGTCATTTCAAATACAAAAACATGAAAATTTTGAATGAAAACAATGGACAAATATATTTCATGCAAATTGCATCCAAAAGAGAGTTGGGTGGCTAAATTACTATCATACAAAATAGAATTCAAATCAAAAAGTTTACAAGAGTCAAATAAAGACATTATATATTGATAAAAAGTGCCCTACCTCAAGAAAATATAACAATTACATACGCATCTAATGACAACACCCCCTAAACATAAGAATTGAAAATTGACAAAATTGAAGGGATAGTTTTACAATAATATCTGGAGACTTCATTACTCCATTTTCAATAGTGAATAGGATAACCAGACAGAAGATTAATAAGGGTACAGGACTTAAACAACACATAGACCAATTGTATCTAAAACTCGGGAGAGCACTTCACTCAACAGTAGCAGAGTATACGTTTTTCTCAAATGCACATGGAACATTCTTTAAGATAGATCGTATGTTAGTCCACAAAACAACTAAATAAATTTAAAAAGATTGAAATCATACAAAGTTTTTTTCTGACTGCTGTGCAATGAAACTACCATCAATAACAGAAAGAAAACTTTTGAAAAACTCACAAATATGTGGAAATTTAAAAAACACACTCTTAACATTAGATCAGAGAAGAAATCACAATGGAAATGAGAAATAAATTAAGGTAGAAACGAACCATAAACCACCATAACCTACTCAGGAAGAATAGGGTATATGAATAGACCTAAAGTAAATAAAGAGATTTAATCAATGACCAAAAACCTCTTAACAAAGAAAAACTCAAGACCAGAAGGTTTTATTGGTGAATTGTACCAAACAATTAAAGAAGAGTTAACACCAATCCTCAAACGTTTCCAAAAATAGAAGAGGAGGAAACACATCCTAACTCCTTCTGTGAAAATAGCACTATCCTAATACAGACAAAGCCTTAACAAGAAAAGAAAACTACAGACCATTATTCCTATGAATATAGATGCAAAAGTCCTCAAAATAATAAACTGAATTCACAGATTATTGAAAGGATTATACACTATGACCAATTGGGATTTTTCTCAAATAATATTTGCAGTCAGAGCAAATATGCAGGAAAGAGAAGTAAAAATATCCAAATTGGAAGTCAATCTTATATGTAAAAAACTGTAAAGAATACACACATATGTACATACATACACACAAAGCTGTCAAAACCAATACATGAACACATAAAATTTCAAGATATTAAATTATTACACAACTAATTTAGTCGGATTCCTATATACAATAAATTGAATGGAGATAAAAAATGATTGCACTCACAATAACCTAATAAAAATAAAATACTTAGGAATACATTTAACAAAGGAGGCATAAGACTTGTATACTGAAAACTATAAACCATTGTTGAAAGATATTAAAGAAGGCTTAAATAATTGGAAGACTGAAACCTGATTCATGAATCAGAATCATATATCATGATTTTGTTCATATATCTGAAAAGGGGTTAATATCCAGAATATATATAAACTCCTACAGCTTAATAATGTGAAGATGACAATATTACTCAAATAATTGACAGATTTAATGCAATCCCTATCTAAATTCCAACAGCATTTTTGGTAGAAATAAAGAAACCCATTCTAAAATTTATATAGAATTTCAAGGGACCCTGAACAGCTAAAACAATTTTGTAATAGAACAAAATAGGAGGTCTCAAATTTTCTGATTTCAAAACTTAATATAAAGCTATAACTTAAAAAAGCAATGTGGTACTGGCATAGGGATGGACCCATAAACCAATGGAATAGAATTGAGGGCCCAGAAATAAACCCTCAAATCCATGGCCAATTGATTTGTGACAATGATGCCAAGATCCTACAGAACAGTCTTTTCAACAAATGGTGCTGAGACAACTGAATCTTTACACGCAAGAAAATAAAGTTGGACTCTTACCTTATACCATACACAGATACTAATTCAATATGGATCAGAGACCTATATTTGAGAGCACAAATTATTAACTCAGAAGAAAACTGGGGCAAATCGTCATGATCATGGATTTAGCAATGTTTTTAAAATATGATATTAAAAACAGGCAACAACAACAAAAAAGATAAATTAAATTTCATCAAAATTAAAAAATTTTATCTATGGAAAGACACTATAAAGATAGTGAAGTACAATCCACACAATGGGAGAAAATAATTGCATGTCACATATCTGATAAGGGGTTAATATCCAAAATACATATGAACTGTAAGTCAACCACAAAATACAAAAAAAGTAAAAAATGGCAAATAACTTGATACAAATGGCTAAGGAGCGGCCGGGCGCGGTGGCTCACGCCTGTAATCCCAGCACTTTGGGAGGCCGAGGCGGGCAGATCACGAGGTCAGGAGATCGAGACCATCCTGGCTAATAAGCTGAAATCCCGTCTCTACTAAAAAAATACAAAAAATTAGCCAGGCGAGGTGGCGGGCTCCTGTAGTCCCAGCTACTCGGGAGGCTGAGGCAGGAGAATGGCATGAACCCGGGGGGGCGGAGCCTTCAGTGAGCCGATATGTCGCCACTGCACTCCAGCCTGGGCGACAGCGAGACTCCTTCTCAAAAAAAAAAAAAAAAATGGCTAAGGAGCACATTGAAGGATGCTCAAAATCGTTAGTCATTAGGGAAATGAAAATCAAAACCACAATGAGGTATCACTTCATACCAACATGTATGGTTATAATAAAAACCATAGAAAGAACTAGTGTTGGTGAGGATGTGGAGAACTTGGAACCTTTGTATACTGCTGGTAGTAATGCAAAATTGTGTGGCCACTGTGGAAGACAATTTGCTGGTTTCTAAAACTGTTAAATATAGAATTACTGTATAAGCCAATAATCCACTCCTTGATACATACCCAACAAAATTGTAAACAAGGACTCAAGCAGTTACTTGTATGCCAGTGTTCCTAATGGGATTATTCACAATAGCCAAAAGGTAGAAATATCACATGTCCATCAACAGATACATGAATAACCAAAGTGCACTCTATATGGAGTATTATTCGGCAATAAAAAGAATGAAGTTCTGACATGCAACAATATGGATGAACCCTGAAAAATTACATTAAATGAAATAAGCCAGATGCAAAATGACAAATATTATATGACTCCATTTATATTAAATACCTAGAATAGGCAAATTCATGAGAAAGAAAGTAGATCAGAAGTTGCCAGTGGCTGAAGAAAAGGGAAAATGGGGAGTCAGTGGGTGGAGAATTTCTATTTGAGACAATGAAAATATTCTGTAAATAGAAGGTGGTAATAGTTGTATAACATTGTAAGCATTCTTAATGTCACTGAATTGTACTCTAAGAAATTGTTAAAATGATACATTTTATATATATTTTCCCACAAGCTTTTTTAAAAAGACACACAAAATGCAAGCATTTTTTTTATTATTCAATTCAACAATCACAAATGTTTCTAACACTAACTCATTATGGATCAGTGACCATTATGGATCAGTTAGTGACAGTTCACTAACCAGCATCATTTTTGGGACCACTTTGAGTAGCACCGATCTGGAGCAAGATATTTCATCTCAATAAGCCTCAGTTTCCTCACATATAAATAATAAATAATTATACTGTTTACCTCCTCTGGTTTTCATGGAATTAGATAATGCATGGAAATGACTCAGTCCTGTGCCTGGTACAATGATCATTAGCTTTTATTTGATGATGTTTGTGCCTACTTGTATGTTGCATTCTAAGTTTTAGGGAATTGATATATATTTTTGCTGATTTTTCAGATTTGTAGGCTCAAAAACTGCTTCAGCCATTCTATTTAATATTTGCACTGTACCCTGCATTTTATAGTACATACTATACTGCATGGTAC
The DNA here is from genome assembly GCF_000001405.40 of Homo sapiens. NCBI lineage: Eukaryota > Metazoa > Chordata > Mammalia > Primates > Hominidae > Homo > Homo sapiens. The sequence goes on along the minus strand of NW_017852931.1, from coordinate 78,842 downwards.
TTATTTTATATACATATATGTGTGTGTGTGTATATATATATATGTGTACATACAGACTACACATTTATTGAAAGCAAGGATTGTGCTACCCCATGGGTAATTACCAATGCTCAGCAAAGTTTCTGCCATGGAATAGCCCTCAGTGAATGCTTACTAGACACAGTTCATGAGCCCCGCCTCCTCATCTGCACTCAATAGTACTGAAAACAATCTTCTACTCTGAAGAGGCCCCCAAATACACATGGATAATCTAACCATAACCTCGATTTAGAATGGTTGTCATCTTTCTACAACAGTTTGGTATTATCTAAAGTGTGGCATTAAAGATCAGTCATTTAGAATTTGAGTCATCCATGAAAAAATGCCTGGTAGCATATTACACTGAAGCTCCTTTCATTCCCATTACCAAATAGCAGAGAACATTAGCCACCTATGCTTAACTTCCCACCACAGTAAGCATGGCACAGCCTTCTACATGTCTCCTGAAGATTACTATGGACAATAGCAAAGTTAAACTAAGCAATACCACTATGTGGTTTGGAAGTTGCTTATTCATGGAGCCTGAAGACTAAAAAAAATTCTGCCAAAAAAAAAAAAAAAAGATTTTATCTACCCCCATTCACAGTTCAACCTTGTACCTCACAAAAATATAAAATAAATTCAGCAATAATAATAAATCATACACAGACCCTAGAAAAATTAGTCTCAGGGAATATAGATAATGCAGGTGGGATTAAACTCAACAAAGTTAATTTGCGTATATAGAATATTGACAGAAGTGAATGATTCATGAAATCAAATATGGCAAATTATTAATATTTAATGAAAAAAAACTAAACTAGATGTCCTTAAAACAAATCAATAAAACTCTTCCTTTAATCCTCCAGTGGAAGATAGATAAGGCGAATTGTCACCTTTTAAAACTATAAACATTTGGAAATCAGAAAGAAAAAAACAAATTTCCTCTTTGTTATTTTTTTTTTTTTTTTTGAGACAGAGTCTTATACTGTCACCCAGGCTGGAGTGCAGTGGTACAATCTTAGCTTACTGCAACTTCTGCCTCCTGAATAGCTGGGATTACGGGCACGTACCACCATGCCCGGCTAATTTTTGCATTTTTAGTGAGACAGGGTTTCACCATGTTGGTCAGGCTGGTCTCGAACTCCTGACCTCGTGATCCAACTACCTCAGCCTCCCAAAGTGCTGAGATTACAGGCGTGAGCCACTGCGATTTTTTTTTACCAACAAGTACTATTTAAATATAAATAAGAAAATTATTTAGCAGGTTTCCAATAGTATCTTCATCAAAGCGAGGCTATAGAAAATTTTAGCTGGATGTAATAATTTTCAAAAACTGAGAAGTCTTTACACCTTCTGCATATAAGTGCCATGCAAACATCCCACCCAATAGCTAGTGGGGAAAATGAATTAATTGACTCTGCCTAACTGTTAACAGTTCTTATTTACCCTTCTCCTACCAGCGGACTTGTCAGCCATTCTGAAGTAATCTCATTTGGGCTGAGTATACCAGTGGCTAAAGAGAAAGTTTTGAGTCACATAAATGAAACAACATGAGGGATATGCATTACTCCACTTACTCTAACTCATGTTAAACTTTGGACTTTTATGGGGTATGAGTCTCCTTTGCAAATAAGTCTTTATTTTGTGTCAACATATATTTTAACTCAAAGAAATGTTATAGTTGCTTCCTTCTGATGATTCCTAAGACACACACACGTGCATGCACACACACACACACACACACACACAAAGAAACTGACACCATTTTCTTTCCTCACCCTTCTTTACTGGTTCCTCCAAATACTTAATATTTAGTCATAACTTACTTTCCCTATAACATGCTTCATTTTTCTAGATACCATGCCCAGAGACAATTAAATATAAAATGATAATACACTGTAAAATATCTAATAAAAATATTGCCTCAAAATTCTGAGTCTACAAATATTCTGGGCATAGCTGGATAAAGAATCTGAAAAAGAACATGTTTTTAATGTAAAAGATCAAATACTTCAACCAAATATATTAAAGCTACAAATAGTGTATAAAACCTGAAAGATTTCAGCTGTGTCTGGCATTCTTTTTCTGCTATACGAAAAAAAAAAGAAAAACGTGTTTTATTATTCTTTGCTAAGGTTATTAATTTCACATCAGTGTATCAACGAAGTTTTAAGAATGTATAGGGGAAACCTCATAAATAGGACCAGAGAATAAAGAACGCTCTCCTGTTTTTCTTTCTTTTTCTTTTTTTGGAGACATAGTCTCACTCTGTCGCCCAGGCTGGAGTACAGTGGCATGATCTCAGCTCACTGCAACCTTCACCTCCCAGGTTCAAGCGATTCTCCTGCCTCAGCCTCCCTATTAGCTGGGATTACAGGTGCTCGCCTCCACTCCTGGCTAATTTTTGTATTTTTAGTAGAGATGGGGTTTTATCTTGTTGGCCAGGCTGGTCTTGAACTCCTAACCTCAGGTGATCTGCCTGCCTCAGCTTCCCAAAGTGCTGGGATTACAGGCGTGAGCCACTGCACCTGGCCCCTGTTTTTCAAAACATAACAATCAGACTTTGAGACTTTATCATCACTTCATCTGCTCACTCACCTGGAGACTGAAAGAGAACTGTCTCTGCCATGTCCTTGGTCACCAGTGGCCACCTGCTGACCCTGGTCACTGACAAGCAGCACTGGGAGGCTGAAGGAAACTTTGACCCCTACATGACCGTCTGATGCCCCAGCACCCTCCAACTCACACAACTTATTTGTCCAGATGGAAGCATTGTATTAATTGTCTCTTATTTTCTGTACTTTGTGATGTTTTGACATCTTAAAAGTTTTGTTGGCTGCGGAGAGACTGCCCTTCTCAGGGCTTCCGATTCTGAGAGAAAGTAAAGGGCTTGGCCTGGAGCACATCGTTTGTGTACAAACCACCCAATGTTGGGTCCATATCCCCAACCATCTCCTTATCTAACTCTTATACACCAAACCTGCTCCGAGTCCTCCCAGGGCCAGCTATCAGGCAATTGGAGACCACCCCTATAGCCCAGAGCCCACTGGAACTATCCACACTAGCCAGCCCTGAGCTAGGTACACTGCCGCCCTGCCTTGCCTAAACTACAGGAACCCAATAAAGGCTCTGGCTAGACTTCACCATCACTCCTGCTTCTGCATCCAAACAAAAACAAACACAAATCTGGCTTTGTTTGTTTGTTTGTTTTTGAGACGGAGTCTCACTCTGTCGCCCAGGCTGGAGTGTAGTGGCGCGATCGCGGCTCACTACAAGCTCCGCCTCCCGGGTTCACGCCATTCTCCTGCCTCAGCCTCCCGAGTAGCTGCGACTACAGGCGGCCGACACCACGCCCGGTTAATTTTTGTATTTTTAGTAGAGATGGGGTTTCACCATATTAGCCAGGATGGTCGCGATCTCCTGACCTCGTGATCCACCCGCCTCGGCCTCCCAAAGTGCTGGGATTACAGTCGTAAGCCACCCTGCCCGGCCCAAATCTGGCATTTTTATCCATGACCATGCATGGTGTAGTATGTCCCTTTCTCTTGGGAACTGTAAGTGATACATTCTTCTTTCAATGCCATTGACCTTCCCACGTGTCATCAGTCAGTCACCTCCATAAATTAGAATCCTGTGGGTACACATGAGACAAGTATCAAAGGAATGTATATGGAAACATATTATTCAGGACTCTTCAGCTTTAGCATTTTGTTGGGAGATGAGCTGCACATGAAAATTAATTAGGAAAGGAGAAATACATGTATAGATTTGTTCAGAAAAAAAATTAGAGCCTGTTAGCTTTGCTTTGCTTTTGAACTTGAGAAAGCACTTCATTAGCCATCAATGTTATTTCAAGGGCCTTTCCCTAAAACTTGTCTGAGTTGCCAGATCAAATGGCTTTCAAAATGAAGAACTACAGCTTCTCAGTGAAATTACTGTACTAGCCAGCTGTTTAGGATTAGGCTCCATTGAGTGGCTCCTGCACCCTTCCTGATTGGAATGTAGCACAGGCCTGGCAGCCCTCCTCTACAGTAGGAGGCTTTTAAATCTTTTATGCATCTTTAGGCTTTTTTGTAAGACATAGCAGGCCCTCTGCTAGCAGCAATCATTGGTTGTATTGTAGTATAGGATATATCCTTTACCAAACAGAGATATTGCCTATCGCAGTGGTTCTTAACCTTTACTGTGCAACAGAATCCTCTAGGAAGCTTTCTGGAAATACTAATGTCTATGTTTCACTGCAAAAGTTCAAACACTGAAATTTTTAAAAATTCCTTTGAATTTATTCTGAAAATTCTAAAGTTCAACCGCAATTGACAACAATTGTATATATTATCATTCTCTAGTCCTGAGACCCTGCATGGGCATTACAGAATCTGGAATCCTGTCCCATTTAGCTAGATGGATTTCACAAAAGCATGTACATCTATTAGTAGAATATTTTCTGAGAGAAAAAAAATATATTCCAAGAACATATATCCCAAGTTGCTTTGTTCTGCTGATTTGTAAGACACACACACCCACACATATAAAGAAAACTGATACCATTTTCTTTTCTCACCTTTCTTTACTAGTTCCTCCAAATATTTAGTATTTACTCATACATTACTTTCCCTATAACATGCTTCATTTTTCTAGGTATCATGCCCAGAGGCAATTAAATATAAAATGATAATACACTGTAAAATATTTTATAAAATGTTGCCTCAAGATTCTGAGTTTACAAATATTCTGGGCATAGCTGGACACAGAATCTGAAAAAGAACATGTTTTTAATATCAAGGATCAAGTAGTTCAAATATGTTAAAACTACAAATAGTGTAGCTACGTACAGTGTGGTTTAGTGAGCAGAGCACTGGAGTAGCATTAGGAATATTGACTGACAGCTACCATCTACCTCCTAAGACACCTTGGATAAGTCACTGCAATCATCCATCTGCATGAGGCTCACTTCTTCGGGTCCATTTTGTGGAGCTACCAAATGATCAGGCTTCAAAATAAAGGAGACTGGGAATAAAAAAGAAAAGTATAGATGGGGTGGTATTAATTAAGGGAGAGTAAGTCTTTGTTACTAGCCAAATAAAGTTTAGTGCTCTGTTAAAATTTTTTGTTTAGAATTAGAGAAAACACCATGGACAAATCCACTCTTGTTTATGGACAAAAGAAACAGAATCATGATGCATAACTGCATCTTCATTTGCTCACAATTGGTTGAAACTTTGTGTTGGCTCTTTGACCACATATGTGGCAACTAAAGGAGCTATTTTGAGAGAAATATGGCATCATAATCACAAATAAAACTGTCCTTATCATTCCATCTTGTGTTTTATTTTATGTATGTATTTATTTATTCTTACATAAAGCATTTGTATTTCAGAACATTTTCTTAAGACATATTTCTATGCAGATCAAAACCACAATGAGATACCATCTCACACAAGAATGGCAAATATTAAAGAGTCAAGAAGCAACAGATGCTGGCGAGGCTGTGGAGAAATAGGAATGCTTTTACACTGTTGGTGGGAATGTAAATTAGTTCAATCATTGTGGAAGACAGTGTGGCAATTCCTCAAAGATCTAGAACCAGAAATACCATTTGACCCAGCAATCCCATTACTGGGTATATACCCAAAGGAATATGAATCATTTTGTTATAAAGATACATGCACACGTATATTCGTTGCAGCACTATTGACAATGGCAAAGACATGGAATCAACCCAAATGCCTATCACTATTGCTTCACAATAGCAAAAACATGGAATCAACCCAAATGCCCACCAATGATAGACTGGATAAAGAAAATGTGGTACATATACACATGGGATACTATGCAGCCACAAAAAGGAACAAGATCACTTTCTTTGCAGGGACACAGATGGAGCTGGAAGCCATCATCCTCAGCAAACTAATGCAGGAACAGAAAATCAAACACCACATGTTACCACTTATAAGTGAGAACTGAACAATAAGAACACATGAACACAGGGTCAGCGGGGGGAGCAACATACCCTGGGGCCTGTTGGAGGGGTGGGGGGAGGGAGAGCATCTGGAAAAATAGCTAATTCATGTATGATGGACTTAATACCCAGGTGACATGTTGATCTGTGCAGCAAACCACCATGGCACATGTTTACCTATGTAATGAACCTGCACACCCTGCACATGTACCCTGGAACTTAAAAGTTGAAGGAAAATAAAGAGATATTTCTAGACATTTAATGATCTGGTCAAGGGTGTGAGCATTTTAATATTTGGTCTATTTCGCTATTTACCATAACATTGCTTTTAGTAATATCCAGCTCCAATAGACAACATTGAATAGACAAAATGACATCTAATTTATTTTTTAAAATTTCGATGATTTATTTTGCTTGAACATTTTTCGAATGAACATTGTCAAATAAATACATTGAACATTTTATCATGTTATTTTACTAATTGTATGTCACTTTTTGTGACTTTTCATATTTTTGCCTATTTATTGAGCAGTGAATTAATTAATGTTTTGCCCATCAAATATTCTTATATTGTTTTTAATTTTTAATTTTTGTGGGTTCATAGTAGTTATATATATATGTATGGGGTACATGAGATATTTTTATACAGGCATTCAATGCATAATAATCATATCGGGGTAAATGGGGTATCCATCACCTCAAGCATTTATCCTTTCTTTGTGTTACAAACAATCCAGTGTATACTCTTTCAGTTATTTTTAAATGCACAAGAAACTGTAGTCACCTTATTATGCTATCAGATACTAGATCTTATTCTAACTACATTTTTGTACCCATTAGCCATCCACCCTCACCCTCCTTGACTACACTTCCCAGCCTCTTGTAACCATCATTCTATTCTCTATCTCCATGGGTTCAGTTGTTTTAATTATTTTTAGCTCAACAAATAAGTGAGAACATGTGAAGTTTGTCTTTCTGTGACTGGTTTATTTCTCTTAACTTATTGAATTTCAGTTCCATTCCTGTTATTGCAAATGAAAGGATCTCATTGTTTTGTACGGCTGAATAAGACTCCATTGTGCATATGTATCACATTTTCTTTATCCATTCATCTGTTGATAGACACTTAAGTTGCTTCCAAATCTTGGCCATTGTGAATAGTGCTGCAATAATAAACATGGAGTGCAGATATCTCTTTGATATACTGATTTCCTTTCTTTTAGGTATATACCTAATAGTGGGATTACTAGATCATTTATTTGTTCTATTTTTATTTTTTTGAGAAAGATCCAAACCGTTCTCCACAGTGGTTGAATTAATTTACATTCCTATCAACAGTGTACAAGGGTTCCCTTTTTTCCACATCCTCACCAACATTTGTTAATGCCTGTTTTTAGGATAAAAGCAATTTTAACTGGGGTGAGATGGTATCTCACTGTAGTTTTGACTTGCATTTTCCTGATGATCAGTGATGTTGAGCAGATTTTCATGCCTGTTTGCCATTTGTATGTCTTTGTCTGAGACATGTCTATTCAGATCTTTTGCCCATTGCTTAATCAGATTATTGGATTTTTTCCTGTTGAATTGTTTGAGCTTCTTATATATTCTGATTATTAATCCCTTGTCAGATGGATAGTTTGAAAATGTTTTCTCCATTTTGTGGGTTTTCTCTTCACTTTGTTGATTGTTTTCTTTGCTGTGTGGAAGCTTTCTAACTTGAAATGATCCCATTTGTCCATTTTTTTCTTTGGTTGCCTGTGCTTGTGGGATATTACTCAACAAATCTTTGCCCAGTCCAATGCCCTGGACATATTTCTCCAATGTTTTCTTGTAGTAGCTTCATAATTTGAGGTCTTAGATTTAAGTCTTTGATCCATTTTGATTTGATTGTTTTATATATGTTAAGAGATAGGGGCCTAGTTTCATCCTTCTGCATATGGATATCCAGCTTTCCCAGAATCGTTTCTTGAATAGACTGTCCTTTCCCCGGTGTGTGTTCTTGGCACCTTTGTAGATGAGCTCAGTGTAAATGTATAGATTTATTTCTGGGATCTCTATTGTGTTCCATTGGTCTATGTGTCTGTTTTTATGCCAGTACCATGCTGTTTTGGTTACTATAGTTCTGTAGTATAATTTGAAGTCAGGTAATATGACTCCTCCAGCTTTGTTCCTTTTGTTCAGGATAGCTTTGGCTCTTCTGGGTCTTTTGTGGTCCTATATAAATTTTAGTATTGTTTTTTCTATTTCTGTAAAGAATGTCATTGGTATTTTGGTAGAGATTGCATTGAATCTGTAGATTGTGTGAAAGGAAGATATCTTGGGCCCCCAAAATTATTAAGGAAAACTCAAGCTGGAAACTTCTTAAGGCAAACCTGCCTCTCATTGTATTCAAAGTTATCCCTCTGCTCACTGAGATAGATGCATATCTGATTGCCTCCTTTGGAAAGGCTAATCAGAAACTCAAAAGAATGTTAACCATTTGTCTCTCACCTGTCTGTGACCTGGAAGCTCCCTCCCCACATCAAGTCTTCCTGCCTTTGCTTTAAGTTGTTCCACCTTTCCAGACCGAACCAATGTACTTCTTATATGTATTGACTGATGTCTCAGGTCTCCCTAAAATGTATAAAACCAAGCCATGCCCAACCATTTTGGGCACATGTTGTCAGGACTTCCTGTGGCTGTGTCATGGGCATGTCCTCAACCTTGGCAAAAATAAACTTTCTAAATTACCTGAGCTCTGTCTCAGATTTTCTGGGTTCACAATTGCTTTGGGCAGTATGGACATTTTAACAATATTAATTCTTCCAATCCATGAACATTTAATTTTTTTCCATCTTTTGGTGTCCTCTTCAATTTCTTTCTCTGTGTTTTATAGTTTTGTTTGTAGAGATATTTTACTTCTTTGGTTAAGCTTATTCATAGGTATTTAATTTTATTTGTAGCTATTTTATATGGGATTACTTTCTTGATTCTTTTTCAGATTGTTTGCAGTTGGCATAGAGAAATGTTACTGATTTTTGTATGTTGATTTTTTTATCCTGCAACTTTACTGAATTTGTTTATTGGGTCTAATAGTTTTTTGGTGGAGTCTTTAGCTTTTTCCAAATATCAGATCATATCATTTGAAAACAAGGATAATTTAACTTCTTCCTTTCCAGTGTGGATGCTTTCTTTCTTTCTTTCTTTCTTTCTTTCTTTCTTTCTTTCTTTCTTTCTTTCTTTCTTTCTCTTGTCTTATTGCTCTAGCTAGGACTTCCTCCATCTTTTGCTTTAAATCAAGTTAATTTAAAATGATTTGGGATTCTTTTGTAGAATTTTTGTTCATAAAAAAAAAGAGAATGATTCTTTAGATAGTAAATGTGTCTATTCTTTACTTTTCCTGGTAGAATATTTGACTTCTCTAATCTACTAGTATCACTTTATTATCCTCCAACTTTTTTTTAGAATAGTTACTAATTGAATAACATAGAAATTTGACAAACTGATTACCCTTTCCTCAGATCATCAATAAAGATGTTAACTAAAAGCCAACAATGAAATCTTTCTTTAAAATTAATAAACCTTTATTTTTTTAATTTTATTTTTCCATAAGTTATTGGGGTACAGGTGGTATCTGGTTACATGAGTAAGTTCTTTAATGGTGATTTGTGAGATTTTGGCGCACCCATCACCCATGCAGTATACACTGCACTGTATTTGTAGTTTTTTATCAATTGCCCCCCTCCCACTCTTCCCCCCAAGTCCCCAAAGTCCATTGTATCATTATCATGCCTTTGCGTCCTCGTAGCTTAGCTCTCACATATCAGTGAGAACATACAATGTTTGGTTTTCCATTCCTGAGTTGCTTCACTTAGAATAATAGTCTCCAATCTCATCCAAGTCACTGTAAATGCTGTTAATTCATTCCTTCTTATGGCTGAGTAGTATTCCACTGTGTGTGTGTATGTGTGTGTGTGTGTGTGTGTATATATATATATCTCACAATTACTTTATCCACTCATTGATTGATGGGCATTTGGGTTGGTTCCACGATTTTGCAATTGTGAATTGTGCTGCTATAAATATGCATGTACAAGTATCTTTTTCACATGATGATGACTTATTTTCCTCTGGTTAGATACCCAGTAGTGGAATTGCTGGATCAAATGATTGTTCTACTTTTAGTTCTTTAAGGAATCTCCACACTATTTCCCACAGTGGAAAATAGTACTAGTTTTCATTCCAACCAGCAGTATAGAAGTGTTCCCTGATCACTGCATCCACACCAACACCAACATCTACTGTTTTTTGATTTTTTTATTATGTCCATTCTTGCAGGAGTAACGTGGTATCGCATTGTGGTTTTGATAGGCGTTTCCCTGATTGTTAGTGTTGTTGAGCATTTTTTCATATGTTTGTTGGCCATTTGTATATCTTCTTTTGAGAATTGTCTGTTTATGTCCTTAGCCCAGTTTTTGATGGAATTGTTTGTATTTTTCTTACCAGTTTGTTTGAGTTCATTGTAGATTCTGGATATTAGACCTTTGTCAATATGTATAGATTGAGAAGATTTTCTCCCACTCTGTGGGTTATCTGCTTACTCTGCTGACTGTTCTTTTTGCCGTGCAAAAGCTCTTTAGTTTAATTAGGTCCCAGCTGTTTATCTTTGTTTTTATTGCATTTGTTTTTGGGTTCTTGGTTATGAAACCCTTGCCTAAGGCAATGTCTAGAAGGGTTTTTCCAATGTTATCTTCTAGAATTTTTGGAGTTTCAGGTCTTAGGTTTAAGTTCTTAATCCATCTTGAGTTGACTTTTGTATAAGGTGAGAGATGAGGATCCAGTTTCATTCTCCTACATGTGGCTAGCCAATTATCCCAGGGCCATTTGTTGAGAAGGGTGTCCTATCCCCACTTTATGCTTGTAGTTTGCTTTGTCAAAGATCAGTTGGCTGTAAGTATTTGGGTTTATTTCTGGGTTCTCTATTCTGTTCCACTCGTCTGTGTGCCTATTTTTGTACCAGTACCATACTGTCTTGGTGACTATGGCCTTATAGTATAGTTTGAAATCAGGCAGTGTGATGCCTCCAGATTTGTTCTTTTTGCTTAGTCTTGCTTTGGCTATGCAGGCTCTTTTTTGGTTCCACATGAATTTTAGAATTGTTTTTTCTAATTCTGTGAAGAATGATGGTGGTATTCTGATGGGGATTGTTGTCTCTCTTCTGGGTCTAGCCACCCAGTGAGTCTACCTGGCTCCGGTCTGGTACTGTGGGTTGTCTGCATAGAGTCCTGTGATGTGAACCGCCTATGGGTCTCTCAGCCGTGGATACCAGTGCTTGTTGCAGTGGAGGTAGCGGGGTGGTGCAATGGACTCCATGAGGGTTCTTAGCTTTGGTGGTTTACTGCTCTATTTTTGTGCTGGTTGGCCTCCTGCCAGGAGGTGGTACTTTCCAGAGAGCATCAGCTGTGGTAGTATGGGGAGGAACTGGCAGTGGGCGGGGCCCTAGAACTCCCAAGATTATATGCCCTTTGTCTTCCACTACTGGGTGAGCAGGGAAGGACCATCAGTTGGGGCTGGGCCTAGGTATGTCTGAGCTCAGACTGTCTTGCTGCGGCTGCTGTGGAGAATGGGGTGAGATTCCCAGGTCATCGAGTTGTGTACCTAGGAGGATTATGGCTGCCTCTGCTGAGCCATGCGGGTTGTCAGGGAAGTGGGGGAAAGTCGGCAGTCACAGGCTTCACCCAGCTCCCATGCAAACAGAAGGGGGTGTCTCATTCCTACGGTGCCCCAACAACAGCCGCCAGTCCTTTCCAGGCGGAGAGCTACACGGGCTTGGAAACCTGCCCCAGGCTACCCGCCTCCCAGCTGCTAAAGAAAAGGGCTTGGTTCTTCCCCTGCTGTGGAGTCTGCACAACGGATTTGCGCTGAGTTCTGGCCAGGAGGCTTCTTAACCCGTTCAAATTATTACAAAGTTCAGCTAGAGATTTCCTTCTCCTTGTGTAGTTTTACCCCTGCTCCTCTCCTGTTGGATCCCTGAGGTGCCAGGCAGGAATGGCCTGCTAGGGGACCCAGCGAGCTCCCAGGGCCTTTCTGCTGCTTTCTCTACCCGTGTATTTCCCTCGGCTCTCCAGATTGACTCAGCTCCAGGTAAAGTCGGAAACTTCTCCGGCAAACAGGCCTTCGGCTTCTCCAGTGGGGATGTGTGTTTGGGAGGGGATGGTCTCCCTTTCCCACTTCCGCAGTTGGGGCACTCACTGTTTTGGGGGTGCCTCCCAGGTCCTGCAGGAGCAGTCCACTTCCTGCAGAGGGTCTGTGGGTCCTCCCAAGATTGCTGGTTTGTTCTTGCAGTCGATCTAGAGCTAAAATTTGCAATATGAGTCCCCACCTGCTGATCTGTCTGGAGCTGCAATCTAGTCCTGCCTCCAGTCTGCCATGATCTTGATTTTTAAATTATGGCCATTCTTGCAGGAGTGAGGTAGTATCTCCTTGTGGCTTGAATTTGCATTTTCCTGATAATTAGTGATGTTGAGCATTTTTTCATATGTTTGTGAGCTGTTCGTATACCTTCTTTTGAGAATTGTCTATTCATGTCCTTTGCCCACTTTTTTTTTTTTTTTTTTTGAGATGGAGTCTCACTCTGTCACCCAGGCTGGAGTTCAGTGACAACATCTCGGCTTACTGCAACCTCCGCCTCCCAGGTTCAAGCGATTATTGAGCTTCAGCCTCCAAGGAGCTGGGATTACAGGCAGGTGCCACCACGCCCAGCTAATTTTTTTTGTATTTTTAGTAGAGATGGGGTTTCACCATGTTAGCCAGTCTGGATTCACTCGAACTCCTGACCTCAAGTGATCCGCCTGCCTCAGCCTCCCAAAGTCCTGGGATTACAGGCATGAGCCACAGTGCCTGGCTTCTTTGCCCACTTTTTGTTGGGCTTATTTGTTGTGTTTGTTTGTTTGTTTTTTGCTGATTTGTTTGAATTCCTTTTAGATTCTCGGTACTAGTCCTTTGTTGGATGCATAGTTTGGGAATATTTTCTCCCACTCTCTGGGTTGTCAGTTTACTCTGCTGATTATTTCTTTTGTTGTGCAGAAGCTTTTACTTTAATTAGGTCCCATTTATTTATTTTTGGCTTTGTTGGATTTGCTTTTGGGTTCTTAGTCATAAATTCTTTGCCGAAGCCAACATCTAGAAGAATTTTTCTGATGTTATCTCCTAGAATTTTTATGGTTTGGGGTCTTAGATTTAAGACTTGGACTGAATCAGTAATTTAAAAAATTGCAAACAAAAAAAAAGTCCAGGATCAGATGGATTCACAGCCAAATTCTATCAGATATCCAAAGAAGAAGTAATAGCAATCTTACTGAATCTATTTCAAAAGATAGAGAAAGCAGGAATCCTCCCTAAATCATACTGTGAAGCCAATATCAACCTAATACCAAAACCAGGAAAGGAGATAACAGAAAAAGAAAACTGCAGACCAGTATCCCTGATGAACATAGATGGAAAAATCCTCAACAAAATATTAGCTAACTGAATCCAACAGCGTATCAAAAAGATAATACATCATGATCAAGTGGGTTTCATACCAGGAATGCAGGTATGGTTTAACATAGGCAAGTCAATAAATGTGATACATCATGTAAACAGAATTTAAAACTTACATGGTTTATTTTTAACATTTAAATCTCTGGTATGTTTATATAGTACAATGGATTCAATTTTATTGGTTTACAAATATAATCATCCACTTACTCCAGCACTTACTGAAAAGTCCATCTTGTCTCCATTGAGACAAGATTCCATTGAATATATTTTTAAGTTTACTATTAGTCTATCTGTTCACTCTCTAATAATACAGAACTATACTTAGAGGGCACTATGTTTTAATATTAGATAATACCTTTACCTTATGCTGTGAAGTAATTTCCATGGTATATTTCTTGCCCCTTTCCATTTTTCTGATTTTCAGGATGTTTTTCTTCTTTTTTTCTTTTTCTTTTTCTTTTTTCTTTTTTTTTTTGTGGCTCTTCTTGCTTCTTGTAATCAACTTATCCACTCTGGAAAAAATTATGAGAATATTTTTGTAGTGAACACATTTCATTTATAAATTAATTTAAGGAGAATTGACATAGTGAGTATTGAGCTTTCCTATCCCAAACAAGGTAAGTGTAATTCCGTTTGCTCAGGTTTGTTTTTGTGTCTTTCAGGAGTGTTTTATAATTGTCTTCACATAGGTGTTAGATATGTACTGCTAAATTATGCCTAGGTTTTCTGTTATTATTACTGTTACTATTTTTACTACTGTAAATGGAGTCTTTGCCTCCATTTTATCTTCGTTAGGTTATGCTGCGTATGTATAGGGACAAATAATTTCTCTATGTTCACTGAATTATGTTATTTCTGTAGTGTTTTTTCAGGGATGCTTTGAGGTTTTCAAGGTATTTAATAATTATACCTTCTGCAAATACAGTTAGTTATATCTCTTCCTTTCTAATTCTTATGCCTATAACTACTTCATATTGGCCAATCGCATTGGTAAATACCTTCACTACAATTATAGACAGGTGTGGAGATAGTGGGAATCTTTTGTTTTTTTTTTTATTTTGCTGGGAAATCCTTGAATGTTCCCCCACTTAAAAAGATGCACCACCACTATTTTTGTTCTTGCTTTGCCAAAAGAATACCCATTTCTTCCCCAGCCTTAAGTAACTAACAACAAGCCCTCTTTCTCACTGTAGCACTGAGGGTGGCTGTCTCTCGCCTTCTGCAAGATGGATGTGGAGAGAAATGCCCACCTCATCATCTCCACTACCAGGGATTGTAGCCGGGAATTAACCCGGGCACCCAATGGGAGAAACAGTGTCACCACTCCCCATTCTCCGGCAGAGGCACATCCACTCAACTGTGCCTTTATTCTTTACCCTTCCCCCACAGTCCTTCCAAAACCAAGAATTTCTTCTTCCTTTTTTTTAAAAAGAATTTTATTTTAGGTTCGGGGGTACACGTGCAGGTTTATTATATAGGTAAACTCATGTCACGGGAGTTTTGTTGTACAGATTATTTCATCACCCAGGTACTAAGCCTAGTACCAATAGTTATTTTTTTCTTCTCCTCTCCCTCCTACCACTCTCACACTTTTCAAAAGAACATGTTAGATTGCTCTGTTGGGCCTACTCACGCAAAAGATTGATCTCTCAAATGCTTAACGTTCTTCTCTCAGTTCATTCTGTCTCCTCAACTTGATCAGAAATCAGGGACACAGGTAGCCATACATGTTAAAACAATCAAAAATAGGCCTTGTACCTCAATTTTTCCATGAATGCAAATACCTTAATGTGAAGAAACCCCCTGAGTTTTTATGATAAGTAACATATAATTGGATTGCAGTGGTGGCATGAAGTCCAAAAGTGAACAGATATGCTTTAGATGATTTATTACTGCAACCTGTTGCTGAGAGTTTTAAATCATGCAACAGAAAATTATTTTATTCTCTGTAAAAATCATAGACAAGATTAGAAAAACTGTTCCAGTAACTTAAGTCAGAATAAATACCTAACATTTATCTCAGTGGTATGTGCCAGGTACTCTACAGATATTTGTTGATTGAATAAATGCGTGAGTCCATATATATGCCTGTTTCTAAGTGAGAGGCTTAAATTTAATAACAATATTTCAATAGCATTTTCTGTTGTATGCCAATTTTCATATGATCTTCACAAGATTGATCAGCTATAGATTTGATATTTAATGCCGTGCTTTTTCTACTATGTCAGTTTCTAAGAGGGTGTGTTTTGTGTTTCATTTGCTCTATTCCCTGAGCTAACTTCCTGCTTTGATAATGGTGTTTTGTTCTGTTGTTATTTATTTTATTATTGTTTTTAATGAGGGGAGAGTACAACTCAATTCAGAGCTGTTACAAAATTTATCCTGATAAGATTTTAAAAAATTACATAAAGCATTAAGAATGGTAAAGATGACTGGAAATTTTTTTTTAAATGTTGTTTATCCATATCCAGAAATCTGATCCCAAAAGAGAAATCAGTCCAGAAGATTTTGCTTGCCTCCTTTATGGAGCTGTCTCTTTTTACATGAAGGAGTAGCTTCCATCAAAGAGATACTTTTAGATCAAAGCCCAAGGAAAAGAACTCAGGATATTCCTGGGGTGGTTCCCAACCAGCTTGACATCATAGCTGTGGGGGAGTCATTAACTGTACCATATTCTTCATATGGCTTTAAATTCCCAAAACTAGGATTTTTTTTTCCTGACTTTCTAGAGTTCTCAGTCATAAGCTGCTTGGATATGATAGATTTCAAAAGTAATCATAAGGAGCATATTCTGATTTAAACACTGAAACATTTTCCCTGCAATTAGTATTAGTTGGACCTGCTCATGCATTATAAAAGCTCAGACATGAAGCGTCTGGCAGTCACATTCCACTTGCTGCAGAATGACCTTTCTGGTCTATAAAGTGTAGGAGCCTAAAGCATAGGTCTCTGACCTGGCCAGTTAGAGACAGAGAGACAGAACTCAGATTGGTGTGAGATTTGGGTAATGTGGTTTGAGGATACATTTGAAACAGTTCTGAGGGAGGTGAAGGGCCTTAGATGCTCAAGTACTCAAAGCAGTCACCATGTTCATGACCTTTCACTTCCACTTGTCTTGAATACATAGCTTTAGTATGCCTAGTAAGTGTGCTTCACCTTGAAAAACAGTATGTAGACCCTGACTACAGCCTTGACCTTGATCACCACACAGAGCGAGCTGTGGGAGTCTGCAGTCCTGTGAAAATACAGCCAATGAAACCAACAATAATTTGGAATGGTCATCTAGGTTCTAGGTTGCTAGAAATTTGAGACAAGATAATTTAAAGCTGTTATGCTAAATGATTGTATCATCTGTTATCATATTGCACAACAGCTCATGATTATTTATGCAATTATACAGTAATCTGCCTTTTGAGAGACATGGAACCTTAGCAAATTACTTAGCCTCTCTGATGTTATTTTTTGCTTTGTAAAGTAACTCACATAACAGACCTGCTGTGGGAATTAAATGATAAAATCCACTACATCTGATTGACTGTAGTTGTCTTGTCTTTTTTTTTTAACTTCTTGGTGAAATTCTAAGATATACCTGCTATGTGTCTGTGGGTGGGGTAGCAGGAGGCACTAAGTAGCTGAGTGAGACAGCATAGATGAAAGTCAATAAAATTTGTTTTTTTATGATTAATAATAAACCATGTATATTTATAGGTTTTAGGGCCTGAGAAAGCTCAGGTGATAGCTATATCACTATAGGTGGGATCTTCAGAATATGGGAGATACTAGTTTTATTATATTTTGTAATTATCAAGCTACAGCTGGAGTTCTGTATTAAAATTAGGACATCATATTAAGAGAGCATGTTAACAAATTTTAGCTGACATTTAGTAGGCTTCTCACACAAATCATCAGTTATGGGGACTCACTCCAGTCATTCCAAGAATGGAGAAAAGGCTTTCCTCCTTAGGAAGCATCTTATAATCAAGAGGTAAGGGGAACAAAACCCTACTGTCCTCCCAGACAAACCCAATCCCCCTGTTCCAAGTAGCGGCTATCCCCATCCAGCTGACAACCACTAATGCAGAGGATGATCAATGCGGTAAGGAGTCTCTAAACCATCTCACTGTTAATGATTGAGGGATTTAGGCTTTCCACTAAAAAAATATTAAAGGCAGACATCATAGCTGTCAGTAGGGAGAGAAATTGTGTTTCTAGACATGGTAGAGTTAAGATCATTGGGAAGAAGTTATATAAAGATAAGTTTTTGTTCCAAATAAAGTAGGTTACATCCAACAATGAACTTTAACATTGCAATGACCTGGAAATATTGTGAACCCCTTTTCATTAAAAGCGTTCCAGGAGAAGCCAGATGGTTACCTGACAGTAATACTTTAGAAGGAATGACATAGTGAATAGGAGAGTCAATTAAATGACCTTCAATGACCCTTGAAACTCCAGGAAACTGTGATTTGTAAGATTAACTATGTTCAGTCTCTTACTCTTCTCATAGATACCAAAATATGACTTTGTAACTCAAGTGCCATTATATATATATCTTGGAGCAGTAAGATTGTACATTACAACTGTACCCAGATGAGTAGTTAGATATGTTCTTATTATTGAAGAGTTTAAATCCTCTGTCTTAAATTTGAGTGAGCTAACAGCTCTTCAAGTAGAGATAGGAAGAGATTTGTGAAGAAAAGGAGTAAAGTAACAGTTAACCTTATAATTTACTTGACATATTATTAATTTATTATCAAATCAGTTTGGTCTTGTGTAAGGGCCATTGCCTTATATTCTCAATTTGACCCAAAAGTATTCCAGGTAATTTTTACTGGAAGCTCATTATCTAATTTATGAAAAAATATACACCCTTCTAAAATTATGAAGATATGATTAAATATGAACTGATTAATGAACTTCATGAACCTTCTTCCTGAATTTTTAAGTGCTAAATAATAAAAAGCATAGTTACAATGAGAGAATGATGCAGTATAGAGAGATGATTCATGCATTTCTGGTGTAGTGTAGAGCTTTTGAATATTATATTAGTAAGGCTATAGATGTGCTTCAAATGGATTTTTAATTAAATCTAACAAGGAAAACAAGGATGTTGGATGGAAGAAACAATGAATTAACAATGAGATTTATTGTAGAAATGTCATAAACCCCACTTCATGCTTGAATTAAATTGAAAACATTAACAAGTACATTATAATCAGCTTTGATGACTGTTAAACTCCTCTACAAAGAATAAAGGACATTAGGAAAACCAATAAAATTCATCATTTATAATGAGAGAGCTAAATTAATGTAACTGAGCTTAGAAAGCTTGTGTCAAAAGGCCATAATTATAGCTATAGATATGGGAACAGCTCCATCTTTTTTTCTGTCTTGTATTCCTGAATAATCTGGTATTGCACAGAATGAGTATTGTGCCTCCATGTCTAATATTACTAAATCTGATGTTCCTAAAGGAGAGTCTCTCTTCTCATTTTCCCTGACTGAGCAAAAGGTTGTAGCAGAGACATTTAATGCTCATCACACAAAAGGTGCTGCCCTCCACTTCCTAGTCTCCTTTACAGTTAGCTGGCACCATGTGACTGGTCCTGGCCCATGGGATGTGGCAGGAGTGAGCTATGCCTCAACTTGGCCATTAAGGTGCCATAAAGCTTCTAGGCAACCTGCAGCTCCCACTTACCCTCCCATGTTGATTGGTTTGGCCACCATTGAGAAGAGACAGCCTCAGTGAAGTCAGTCTGGATCCCTGTGTCATTGCTTGAAAAGAAGCTGCTGTACAGAGCTAATGGGCTCCTAGTAGACTTTGAATAAGCAAAACTTTATGTATTGAAACACTGATATTTCTGTTGGTCTGTCACTGCAGCACAGCCTAGGCTATCCTGCAGGTCCATACTTATCTTGGTATGGTGCAGTTGGGGCCGGCTTGTGAATGTTTATCTCCCGAGTATAAAGGCTGTGATATTTCGAGGACTTTTTGTCTTCATTGTACTTGAGCATGATTTCTACAAATAAATGTGGCCACTGCTCAGGATATGCTGAGGGTGGAATTGAGTGCTCCCGAGTAATTTTCCAGCATGCATTTTGCAGGTTCCTACATCTTCTTGAAAGGCATTTGCCATAAACACAAGAAAGCAACGAGAGCTGCTTGCTTTACATTGCACATGAGAGAAAAGTAGCTTTCCAGGTGGCAGCTTTATCATTATTTCCTGCTTTCAGAGCTCTAATATAAGAGCCTTAAGGTGGAGTGGAATGAGGCAGCCAGAGGGGTATATCGTTCTACCTGTTCAACTCTAAGAAAGCCCCTGAAGTTGAAAAAAATGTAAGCTGGGGATGGCAGAAACAGCATGGACTTGCAAGCCTTTCCATCATGAAAGCATGTGGGCTTCCCATGAACCAACAGGATGCAACTCTGCTCTCTCCCCTTAAGCACAGATGTGGATTACATTTTGGAGATTCTTAGCTACATCTCCTTTAAGGAATTTATTGGTCCTAAAGCACCATACCTTCATGGGCAAAGACTTCATGACGAAAATGCCAAAAGCAATTGCAACAAAAGCCAAAATTGACAAATGGGATCTAATTAAACTAAAGAGCTTCTGCACAGCAAAAGAAATTATCATCAGAGTGAACAGGCAACCTATGGAATGGGAGAAAACTTTTGCAATCTACCCATCAGACAAAGGTCTAATATCCAGAATTACAAGGAACTTAAACAAATTTACAAGAAAAAAACAAACAACCCCATCAAAAAGCGGACAAGGAATATGAACAGACACTTCTCAAAAGAAGACATTTATGCAGCCAACAAACACATGAAAAAATACTCAACATCACTGATTATCAGAGAAATGCAAATCAAAACCACAGTGAGATACCATCTCATGCCAGTCAGAATGGTGATTATTAAAAAGTTAAGAAACAATAGATGCTGGTGAGGCTGTGGAGAAATAGGAATGCTTTTACACTGCTGATGTGAATGTAAATTAGTTCCATCATTGTGGAAGACAGTATGGCAATTCCTCGAGGATCTAGAATCAGAAATACCATTTGACCCAGCAATCCCATTACTAGGTATATACCCAAAGGAATATAAATCATTCTACTATAAAGACACATGCACACGTATGTTTATTGCAGCACTGTTTACAATAGCAAAGACATGGAACCAACATAAATGCCCATCAATGATAAACTGGATAAAGAAAATGTGGTACATATATGCCATGGAATACTATCCAACCATAAAAAGCAATGAGGTCATGTCATCATGTCCTTTGCAGGGACATGGATGAAGCTGGAAGCCATCATCCTCAGCAAACTAACACAGGAACAGAAAACCAAACACAGTATGTTCTCACTCATAAGTGGGAGTTGAACAATGAGAACACATGGACACAGAGAGGGGAACAATATACACCAGGGCCTGTTGGGGAGTGGGGGGTGAGGGAGGGAACTTAGAGGTTGGGTCAATAGGTGCAGCTAATCACCATGGCACATGTATATCTATGTAACAAACCTGCACGTTCTGCAGATGTATCCCATTTTTTTTAGAAGAAATAAAGAAAAACAAAAAATAAAAATAAATAAATAAATAACTATTCAATCTCTTACAAGACCTCACATCCACACACTGCCAAAGCAGTCAGAATGTGGACATTTAATTTGAAGGCCCTGCTCTAGTTAACTCAGCCAGCATTTTTGCAGAAAATCATGTTTCAGGAGGTCTACTCTGACTCCCAGGAGACAACCATGTTAAATACCTCAAGCACTCTTAAGGAAGCTAGCCTCTCTGTATTAACCATCCAATTTTATATGTAGATTCCTGGAGAAGTCTCCTCTGATCACAAATGTAAACCTGGTTTCCCAGACCCCCTAATTCAAAAATGAGTTAGAAATATTTTATTGGTAAGTCTAGAAAATTCTTTCTGCAACTAAAGATCCTGAATTAATCACTCCCTTCCCTTGCCTAATATGGGATTTCATTCAATTGCATTGATGTGAATACTTCATCATTAAAATGACTGTCTTTAATTCATCCTAATAGATATAACATTCAGAGGAGCTTAATTCTCTTTCTATGTATTGTCAAATTCTACTCATAGTTGTTTATCTCCAAAAAACCCTTGGCTATTATGCTGGGTAATGGAAAGCTTCAGGCCCAAGTGGTCAGACTGCCCAGCCACTTGAAAGATTGCCTAGGGATGATTTTGTGTCTTCTTGATTATCCTTAAGGTCAAGAGAACTCACAGACTCTGAGACAGTCAAAGCATATAATTATATTTCCTTTTACAATGTCCCCACCACATTAGGGCTTCTATGATCTATGGGAATAAGCCACATAAATCTCACAGTTTTGGAGAATCCAACCCCAACTAGTGACTCTTCTCCATCCCCAGTGGGAATCTGTCTCACCTCCCCCATCTCAGGTAGGGTGATGGTGCGTGTTGAGTGGGAGAAGGTGGTAATCAGCCCCTTGTGTGCTTTCCAAAAGTCCATGACCAAGACAAGCTGGGTTTGCCTTATGTTGGGCATCAGCGGGGATGTTAGTAGAAGCAAAGACCACCATATCATAAGGGAACTGGGTTGGGGAAATTTATAAACATATATGCAGTTCCACAAGCACTTACTCAGCTGTGGAGAGGATGTAGGGGCCCCAGCACAGTTGGATACACCATGGCTGTAAGAATCTGACAATAGGATTCTGCAATAGTGCAGCTCCATAATAAAATGCCAGAATTCCTTCTTCTGCATCCTCCTAGTCGGTTACCACACTTTAATTGAATACCTTCATTGACAGAGTACCCTTTAACCAAGCTAAGTTAAGGGAGCATTAAAAGTAAAAAAAGCTTTAAAAAATTAGGCCTATGCAAGAGGCCTCTCCTGGGCTCACTGAGGCATATGCTCAGTGTGCCTTTAACCCCAAGATGGCCTAGTTCATATTCAGGCAGTTTCAGCCAGGGCTGTCACACCTGAAGGTCATTACCAGCTTTTTTTTTTTTTTTTTTTTGAGACAGAGTCTTGCTCTGTTGCCCAGGCTTGAGTGCAGTGGCACTATCTCAGCTCACTGCAACCTCTGCCCCCTGGCTTCAAGCAAGTCTCCTGCCTCAGCCTCCTGAATAGCTGGGATTACAGGCACCTGCCACTGTGCCTGGCTAATTTTTGTATTTTTAGTAGAGATGGGGTTTCACTATCTTGGCCAGGCTGGTCTTGAACTCCTGACCTCAAGATCCACCCGCCTCAGCCTCCCAAAGTGCTTGGATTATAGGCATGAGCCACCGTGCCTGGTCCATTACCAGCTCTTTACAGCTAGTGTCCACCTGCATGTTTGTTGTACACGCCATAACAGTTTTTAAATATTTTATTTTATTTTATTTATTAATGATTTGTTTTTGAGACAGAGTCTCATTCTGTTGCCCAGGCTGGAGTGCAGTGGTGCGATCTCAGCTCACTGCAACCTCCACCTCCCAGGTTCAAGCGATTCTCCTGCCTCAGCCTCCCAAGTAGCTGGGATTACAGACACCTGCCACCATATCCGGCTAATATTTTGTGTGTGTGTTTTAGTAGATACAGGGTTTTGCCATGTTGGCCAGGCTAGTCTTGAACTCCTGACCTCAAGTGATCCACCTGCCTTGGTCTCCCAAAGTGCTGAGATTACAGGTATGAGCCACCACACCCAGCCTAATATTTTAAGTATTATCACCACTAACAATGTTCTTTTTTTTTAATGTGGCCAACAATTTATAACTTAATCAAGTGGTTCTAATTCTCTCTTTAAGCTATGTAAAGCCAATTTAATTCTCCAACACACATCTGCACACGTGATATCCACTTAAATATTTAAAGATAGCTATTTGGGGAAATCACTTTAAAGCCTTATTTTACCCAGAACTTCCAAAATACTGTTACGGCTTCATTTATAAATTAAATGTAAAAACAAACAGTAGAACAACAACAAAAAGCATTCTAGAAAGCTTGAAAAAATATCAATTTATATTTATTTACTCTCTGAGGTGGAAATAACTTTCAAAGACTAAAACTCATTGGTGGAAAAGGGAAGAATTTAATAATTTTGAGTGCATTAAAATTTAAAACTTCTATAGAAATAATGAGGAATAATAACAAAAGCAAAGAAACTGGAAAAAATTACTAGACAGATATGCTAAAATGTTACTATAATTGTTTGATACAAATCAATAAAGGAGTCACTAGGACTCCAAGTAGACAGTTGGCCAAATTACATGAAAAAAATAATTAACGAATGTGATCATATAAGTGATAAAAAACCTTGGACAACAGTTCAACCTCACAAATAGTCAAAGAAATGGAGCTTAAACAAAACACGAATTTCCTCTCGCTTTCTACTAGAAAATATTTTTAAAGTATTAACAGGGTTTGGTGAAATGCAGATTCTTATCCATTTACCAGTGGGAGAAAAATACTGAAAAGCAATTTGCAGTATGTATGAGAAAATTTTATGCTTGTAGATAGTGCTTTAATTAAATGAATTGGGAAAGACTTCTTTCTGCATACACATATGCATTCCAGTAATATTTATAATAGTGAAATTTGGGAGCAGTCTAAATGTTCAGTGGTAAGTAATTGGCTGTGATATATCTTCACAGTGAAACAGTATGTGTTGTAAGGAAATTGTGTTTATAAAGAGTTTTTAAAAACATGAGTGAATGCTTATGTTTTTATAAATGACAAATACACAAACATTAGAAAGATTGATAAAAATGCAAAAATATTTTTAAAAGATTATGCATCGAAAATAATCCTGAAGGAATTATTTTTATAAAGTTGTGTTAACAGTGTTTGTCTTTGGGTGGTGGGAATATGGAAAAAGTGTCTTTTTTCTTTTTTTTTTAAAGGGAGAAAAAGCTTTTCTAAAAATGTATTTAGAGACAAGCATGGCTTCTCCAACGATCCTTCTTTGTTCTTACCTAAATAACTTCAATTATTTTACCTGCTTATTATATGCTTTTGGGTCCTCCCTTAACCTTGTGTACATGTGATACAAACAACTGAATGCAATACTTCATGCTTGAGGTAATCAATGAAGAATGAGTCTTACATCTCCCTCCTTCTGGACACCATATTGGTATGAATGACCTTTTTAGTTTGTTTGAAGTCATATCCAGCATTGCATGTTAGCAATTTTTTTCTTGGCAACTCACCTGAGTAATCTCAGGGTCATTAATGGCAGTGGATCATGAAAGGTGAGGAAGCTGGGGGCAGGTAAAGGAGTGTGTTCATCAGAAGAGTAGGATGAAGAGGAATGGTGGGCAGGTGTGCACACTTATGAGATGTTGGGGTGGAGAAGGCTAACTGCTCACCAAATTCCATGTTCCTTTCTTTCAAAACACATAGCTAGACTAGAGTTTATAGCCTCCCTTAAAGTTGGAGTGTCATATGACTGAGTTCTATAGCCCATGGAATGAGAAAGGGAGTGATGCTTGCTATATGCAAAGCTATGTGAACATCTCTCATACGTGTTATTCATGCACCTTCTCCCTCTGCATGACTGAAATAGAGAAGACCCCAAAGGGGTGTCAAAGCCTCATGCTAAGGCTGGAGAGCTCTGTCAGCCTGGATTTCTCAAGGACTGTATGGAGGAGGACCACGCTCCCTATCTGCTTACCTTTCCATCAGTGTTACACAAGCAAGAAATAGGCCCCTCTTATGTGTCAGCAATTACAAAATTTATGAGAACAGGAACAGTAAGCCAACTCTAACTAATATGACACCCAATTATGTTGTACAGGTGACCTTGGTATTTCCTTGTGTTTTTCCCTCATCTCCTCTTCATCAAGGAAGAGAATTTTCCCTAAGTGTTTTTCCACAGATGCCTCAGTCCAGACATAGGAAGCCATGCTGTATTTGTGTTGTAGGTATTTTAGACCCAAATATAGAACTCCATATTTTATATTAATAAATGTCAACTTGTTGGATGTATCTTATCATTTTGACTTTCCAAAATCTTAATTCTGTCATTCTCAATTTTCTGTCCTCTTCACATTTAATAAGCATCCCTTCTGTATTCTCAACAATTACAAAAGTTTATAACTAAAATTATGAGCAGGTTACATTGGTGAGAAGGTAAGCAGTGTTTTAAGACTATGACTTAGAATATGGCAGTATCTTTACTTTCAAGACTTTATCTAGAGAAAATGCTATTGCTTGTCTCAGTTAGCTTTTCCTGCCTAACAAACCATTCCCAAACTTAGTGTCGTAAAACCAACATTTATTACTTCTCACTATTCTACTTTCTCTCTGAATGGCTAGAGGGTCCGGGATGGCCTCATGTAGAGACCTGGGACCTCCCTTGGTAACGCAGGAGCAGTTGGAGGCTAAGACATCTCCCTACAGGAGGGTAGCTCATGCTTATTCACATAGGGAGAAAGGGTTCCCATGATCAAAAGAAATGAGACTTCCCCAGCTCAGAATCAATGTACAGGCACTGTCTTTGGACCTGTCCAAGGAGGGAAATTATAGTTGCTGCTTTTCAAAACAATTGCCACATTTCTCTTATCTATTCATTTAAATGTATTTGCTATTTACATCTATATGCCAAAATAATAAGTTGTAACACGTAAAAAGAAGTACAGATCCAATGAATAAGTCTCAAGTAATGAAGTTGTGGGGGCAGAACGACTATCTGTATTACTGTTTATGTAGAAATACCTTTTCACTGTAAGTTTTGCCTTTACTCCAAAACAACCCTTGCTGCTATTGCATAGGTCACAGGCTGTGATGCCCACAGCATTCTCTCAGCCACCTACAAATTCCATCCAGAGTGCATATACTTTCCCTAAGATATAAGCTCTGTGTTTGGGGTTTGCGGTTTGGAGATCTGTCTTATGGCCACCAAATACCAAGCTTCTGTCTGAAAGTAACCCTTAATAAATTACCCTGTGCTGAAAAACTGAATTTGTCATTCTTTGGTTTCTCAGCTCCTTCTGCATTTGGGGGTCACTTTGTGTATACATGAAACAGATGAATTCTAGATTCATAAATGCCAACCTATTTTGTGACAGCAGGCAGCGTCCATGGAAGTTTGTCATAGCCCAAGTCTTTCTTTAGCATTTTTTCTGCTTTCCCTCCATTCCTTTTCTCTCATCCTTTTGTCTTATGCTCATCCTCCAGGATAGATAGGAAATTAAGCAAGAGAAGGCAATGAGAGGAGCAGAGAATGCAGGACTTTGAAGGAGATAAAACCAAATAGAGGGGTAAAGGGAAAAGAGGCAGGGAACAGGGCAGGCACAGAGGCCTTGAGAAAATTCAGGAAGAAACTTAATGTTCATATGTAGCTCATGCTTGCCACAGGGCTTTTACCTGTTCACACTGTTCCCTGCCCTAGAATGCCAGGCTGAGGTCTGCAGGAACAGCATTCTAGGGCAGGGAACAGTGTGAACAGGTAAAAGCCCTGTGGCAAGCATGAGCTACATATGAACATTAAGTTTCTCCCTGACCTCCACTTCCACCAGTCCCTTTCCATTCTCTTCTCCTTAGTCCTTTATCCCGAGGTTTATTTTGTTCATAGCCACCATTGGTCTGTGAATTTGCCTATTCGTTCACTTGTTCATTACCTGGCTTAGGCACTAGAACTTGTACCACGTTGAAGGCTGCAGGCTTTCTTTGCCTCCACCCCTTATTGCTATTTAGCTTTTTCCTCAGTTTTTTCATCTGAAAAATGCAAATATTCATACCAATGAGCTGTTGTGAGTTTGAAATGTGTTAATGCATGTAAAACACTTTTAGCGCAATACCAGGCACAAGGTCAAACCTCAGTAAATCATAGCAATTGTTATCTCCTTCACCATTGTGTCTTCAGCCTCTAGAAGAGTGTCTGGTATACAACAGATTCTCAGTCAATGTTTTTTAAATAAATGAATGTTAGTTAAATGTTTAATAAATATAATAATAACAACAAACACTTATTGAGAACTACTCTTTGCCAGACATCAAAACTATGAAAAAGGTATTCTTTTTCTTCTTCTTGCTATTTCACATGTGAGGAATTTGAGTCTTAGTTAAATAATTATGCCAGGTCACAAAGCTGGTGCATAGCAAAGCCAAGGCACAAACCCAGGTTCTGTGTGATGCAAAACACGTATTATTTACCACTTTCCTATGCTGCTTCTTAATTTACTACATTTTTAATAAAGAACACATTTATAGGTGCTTTAACTTAGTTCCTGCAAGAATGTAATTGAAAAGTATATTCTTGATATATCCTGTTTTTTAAATTTTTAATCATAATCATCTTAAAGCAAAACAGATTTAATAAGCCTGAAAATACAGGATAATTTCTTTAAGAGACCATTTCCATCCAGTATCGCCCTTTATTCTTAGAACTCACTGACCAGGGGCACCCCATTGGTATATATCAAGTCTCCATTCACAGCTCTCTAGTAGCTAAGTTAACATGGTGTTAGTTGCAGAATTACATTTCATAGCAGTGAAACAACTAGTCTCTTTGTAGAGGCAACAAATATATCTACACATGTAACTCTCTAGGACAAAACCCGAAAATATAGGTTAGTTTTGTTGTAGTCTTTGCTGTAGTCTCTTCTGGGTTCCCGTCAAATGACAACAGTTAAAACAAAACTGGGACACCCAGACAAAGAGAAGAATAGGGAAAAAGTCCTACGAAGTTGTGCCTGGGATGAGGCACCAGAGTAGCTGCTGACCCAACATTTTTTGCAATGTGCTTCCATTCTTTATGCCATCAGTGAGCATCTGTTAAACTCAGGGACAAGTTACAAGTTCTCTTGGTACAATTTGCAGAATCATCTGTTGATATTTGTTGTGGATGGCAGGAAAAGGAGAATGAGGTGTTTTTTCTATTGCTGGGTACAGGCAGACAGTCAAGCAAGTTTCATGCTTAGGGAAGCCCAGCAGCTGTGCTTGAGCACCACTGAATACAACTCACATTGAAGCCATCAAAGAACAAGGTGTAAAATGACATCCCAAGGTCCTTACCTTGGGATAAAGGACTAAGGAGATGAGATGTGCCCTTTGTCATAAAGAGATATCCTAACATCAGAGCATTCTGGAATGTACTGCCAGAATTTGTAAGAAATTGTGTATCCTCAAAGAAGCTAGTATTTCCTTAAAAATAAAAAAGATCCCCTCTCCCCCTCCCCCTCCCCCCTCCCTCTCCCTCTCCCTCTCCCCACGGTCTCCCTCTCCCTCTCTTTCCATGGTCTCCCTCTGATGCCGTGCCAAAGCTGGACTGTACTGCTGCCATCTCGGCTCACTGCAACCTCCCTGCCTGATTCTCCTGCCTCAGCCTGCCGAGTGCCTGCGATTGCAGGCGCGCGCCGCCACACCTGACTGGTTTTCTATTTTTTTGGTGGAGACGCGGTTTCGCTGTGTTGGCCAGGCTGGTCTCCAGCTCCTAACCGCGAGTGAACCACCAGCCTCGGCCTCCCGAGGTGCCGGGATTGCAGACGGAGTCTCGTTCACTCAGTGCTCAATGGTGCCCAGGCTGGGGTGCAGTGGCATGATCTCGGCTCGCTACAACCTCCACCTCCCAGCCGCCTGCCTTGGCCTCCCAATGTGCCGAGATTGCAGCCTCTGCCCGGCCGCCACCCCGTCTGGGAAGTGAGGAGCGTCTCTGCCTGGCCGCCCATCGTCTGGGATGTGAGGAGCCCCTCTGCCTGGCTGCCTAGTCTGGAAAATGAGGAGCGTCTCTACCCGGCCGCCATCCCATCTAGGAAGTGACGAGCGCCTCTTCCCGGCCGCCATCCCATCTAGGAAGTGAGGAGTGTCTCTGCCCGGCCGCCCATCCTCTGAGATGTGGGGAGCACCTCTGCCCCGCCGCCCCGTCTGGGATGTGAGGAGCGCCTCTGCCCGGCCGCGACGCCGTCTGGAAGGTGAGGAGTGTCTCTGCCTGGCCGCCCCATCTGAGAAGTGAGGAGACCCTCCGCCCGGCAGCCGCCCCGTCTGAGAAGTGAGGAGCCCCTCCGCCCGGCAGCCGCCCCATCTGGGAAGTGAGGAGCGTCTCCGCCCGGCAGCCACCCTGTCCGGGAGGGAGGTAGGGGGGTCAGCCCCCCGCCTGGCCAGCCTCCCCGTCCGGGAGGTGAGGGAAGCCTCTGCCCGGCCACCCCTACTGGTAAGTGAGGAGCCCCTCTGCCCGGCCACCACCCCGTCTGGGAGGTGTACCCAACAGCTCATTGAGAACGGGCCATGATGACAATGGCGTTTTTGTGGAATAGAAAAGGGGGAAAGGTGGGGAAAAGATTGAGAAATCGGATGGTTGCTGTGCCTGTGTAGAAAGAGGTAGACATGGGAGACTTTTCATTTTGTTCTGTACTAAGAAAAATTCTTCTGCCTTGGGATCCTGTTGATCTATGACCTTACCCCCAACCCTGTGCTCTCTGAAACATGTGCTGTGTCCACTCAGGGTTAAATGGATTAAGGGCGGTGCAAGATGTGCTTTGTTAAACAGATGCTTGAAGGCAGCATGCTCGTTAAGAGTCATCACCACTCCCTAATCTCAAGTACCCAGGGACACAAACACTGCGGAAGGCCGCAGGGTCCTCTGCCTAGGAAAACCAGAGACCTTTGTTCACTTGTTTATCTGCTGACCTTCCCTCCACTATTGTCCTATGACCCTGCCAAATCCCCCTCTGCGAGAAACACCCAAGAATGATCAATAAAAAAATAAATAAATAAATAAAATAAAAAAGATCCTCTACTATTCCCAAAATGTTTTGGTACTTCAATTCTGAGGAGGGAATTCACAGTCTAGTGTTGAGATTGACCCAGTCCTTATTTATAGAGGATTTACTATAAATAAAAATGCAGGATTTTAGCAGCACTGTTCATGTATTCATTCCTAGTTTATGATTATGGAACTGTCTTATTACAATTTATTAAACTATATTGATTATAAGGTTAGTAGATAATATTATTGCTATTAGTATGTATCCAGAAACAACTAATATTTAATATAAGGCATGATCTATGTAATAGTTGATATTATTGTTATTATTTTACTATGGATCATTTGGCCACCATATGGAAAATCATTCTTATTCCTGGTTTGGGCCAAGTGATAAGCAATTTCTCTCTATGTAGAGACTAAAAGGAGCAGATGTATATAGATCACTATATACATCTTTTAATGAGTTTCTATTTTACAATCAACCAGCCAATAGTTGGCAAAATGAATATTGCTTGTCTCTTTTGGTCATTTTAAGTGGTTCACTCAGTAAGTTTAGTAGATTTAGTCGAGACTAAACACCAGAAAATGACCTGTTTTAATGACCATGCTGTCCTTATTAATTTTTTCTCCAACATTGTATTTTAAAATAATGTGGTTACTTTAACTGACTGGACAAATGTCAAGTGACTAAATGACAGTAAAATTTTGTCAAAAATTGTATTACTAATATCAAGTGGGTTGCATTTTTCTTATGCTAGTATATAAAGTCCAAGTCAATTTAAGGAATCAAGTTAGGAGAAATTTCTATTTGACTATTAGGAATTTATTATTATTCATGATTTTTGTATTTTGTATGCTGTATATCCTTCAGGAAAAATGTGAGGGCAGGAATTCTAGGAAGTTAAGCAATTATTACTGTACTTCATCAGGAAGCATAATCTACTGTTATCTTCACAATCATTCGAAGGATATTTGGTGTAGCTTCCAATAAGGCTTGAGTCTGTTTTATATGAGAGATTAGATTAGTTGCCCAAAAGCCTGTTAAGGAAGAAGAGGCTCCCTTCCCTGACTCCTGGGCATGCAGTTGGGATAAAAATGTAGCCACTTCATCCTCAAAGGGCTTTAACTGAAATGACCTCCAGTAGGTCAGGAGAAGAAAAATGGACCTTTGGAAATGTCCCTTGTTTTGTAATTTAGGAAATATACTTTCATTTTGAAAGCTTGACATTTTGTTCTCACTTACCAAGAACATACCCAGAGTATTTTTTCTTCTTCAAAAAAATCCTATGTATTTCCAAATCACTAGTCAGAGTATAAGGTAAGGAAGAGGAATAGTAATTTAAAATATTGCAATGATAATTTGAATGAACACTTGGGACCATATACTACCCTGGAAAGAGGATACATTAGAATAAACTGAAAAATCACTGAAAAGGCCCACAGAGTCTGAGGCAGACATTGGTTTTGTTGAGATATCAAGGATGTGCGTAGCTAGATGTAGAGCATAACCAGAAAGCCCATAGCAGATCCATTTAAGCAGACTGGCACACAACAGAGCTCCCACAGGTGTTTCCCGGTTGTGCTTTTTTGTGGCCCTCACTTTCTTTGCCAATAAAAATAATAGTGAAACAATTAAAATGTGCTAATATATCCTCAGTCTTAACTTTTCCCTAACCACCAACTGTGCATTCTTATCTATTTTTACACTGAAAAACAAACAGGGAAATATTCAGCGTTTTAAGAGTCTTGACATATTGGCCAGTGGTTTGATGAATGGTATTATAAATGACTCTCAGAGAGTTCACCACTCTGATGAATCATGGCTCTCTAGTGCCTTCAGAGGAATGTGGTTAGGGGGTAGGTACATGATCCCAGGAGTCAGGGGTCCTCAGTACTATCTTGTCACTGACATTGCCCATGGCCTAGAAGAGTGACTTTTAGGTCTTTGAAAATGTTAATATCCCTGCTTCGATAAAGGTATAAAGTTAGTGTGAACTTGAATTTCCTTGAACTCAGCTTTCTATGGGGCAGAAGAGTAGGAAGAACGCAGTAGGGAGCACAGCCTGTGCCAGCCAAAGGCTGGAAGTCCTCAGTTTTGCCAGCTTTCTTCTTCCCCTTGTTCCTTCTGGTGCCCCTTCTGGGTGCCCAGGGTTCTCAGCTGTCCTCTCTCTCCCCACCTGTAGCACCCACTGTGATGCATGGAGATGTCCTCCCCACAACACTATGCTGCTGATCCTTGGCCTGTGCCAGAGTTTGGTGGGGGTTTGCATGGGCTTTTGGAGTCAGACAGATCTGGATTTCCATTTTAGCTCTATGCCCTACCATCTTGGTCTGGATCAAGTTCCCAAGCACCTAGAAGCCTGGGCCTTAATCTGTGATACGAGGTTTTAAAAACTAGCACACAAAGTTGTGTCAATATTAAATGAGATTATGCAGTTAAATCTCACACACAGCTCAGCTGTAATTTTCTCCTTTTCTTTCGTTTCTGCTATTATCTTTTACTTCAAAATAAACTTTACCTGACCTGTATTTTAGTGTTTCAATGTTAGACACCTCATATAAGTGATCTCAGTTAATTCTGAGACATCTCTTTTCAATTGATATCATTATAAAGGATACTTTTCAAAACGGTAAGATCATGACTCATATAAAATGAACATGCAGCAAATATTTTACTTAACCTCATTCATTAATAAGGGAACTGATAAAATGTAAAACTAGTTCAAATTTGAATTTAACTTGTAGAGACTTATATTTTCAATCAGACAGGTATGATTTGTATTGCCCTAAAAAAGAATAATATGACATAGTTGCATCTCTATCATTTTTCTATAAATTAGCTTTTATCTCTAGCAAGTTGTAAAATAACCTCCTCAGGGATCACTAAAGATGATGTACAGAATCTAAAAGGCCAGGAGGGTTCTTGGGACAGCTAACGCCTGGCCCTCCATTGAAAATACTCCCAGGAATCTCTTCTGCCCATTTCAGTCTTTCATAATTTCTCTGAACATCTTTTCCATTGGATAGATGTGTAAACTAAAGCTTAAAATGTTCACTAATGTGCCCGAGGTCCTCAGGTAGCAGGGCTGGGTGAGCCTCCAGATCTGCTGGATTCCTCACCAGTAGGGACTCTCCCTCCCTGGCCCCCACAGAGCCGGCTGCATTCCCCATGTTGGCCTTCCATTCAGCTCCGGTGGCACAGAAAGAGAAGAGATTCTTCAGATGATTCTGGTAGAAGAGCCAAGTTCTGTGCCTGTCTTCCGGAGGAGCCCCATTCCTCATGTCCTCATGCCCCTGGAGCAGAGCACTCAGCTCTCTCTCCCTCTTCTCAGCATGAGGTTTCTCTAGCACCAGGTTCTGGAACCACGGCGCATGCAGGGTCCTGTTCCCAGATACCACTGGGAGCACCCTGAAGGCAGGTAACTTGTCTCATGTGGCCTCTGGAGAATAAGGGTCCAGGCAAGCCCAAGCCATTTATTTTTGGAATATTAGAATCTATCTTGCCCTTTCTTCCATGGTACTTTCTTTGATTATTAGACCCTCCTTGTCCTGGCTCCCAGGGTCTCTGAACCTACGGGCCCTAGACAAAGGCCTGAGATGCAAGCTTACAGCTAACACTGCTGGGGAACAAAATTCCAGGAAAGCGTGTGTCAGAGCAAATATAGGGTGACGCCTAGAAAGGGAGAGAGTAAATATAAGAAAGTGTGTTCCCAAGCTGGCTACCAGGTCTCCCAGGATATCTTCAGAGAGGCTGAGGCTGCTGCATTTCCGAATATTACATGTTGGAGAGAAAGGCAGGAGGAAAAGGGCGAAAGCTATCTATAGGCTTCCACTTGCTTCTGGCCACATTTGCTTCCCCCATGGCCCCTGGGCCCCAGCTGGATCCTAAAGCCACAGTGTTAGGGATGGAAGCATGTGATGCCAGCCCAGGACTGTGGCCACAGCAGGTGGCAGGAGGGGACACGGACCTCCCCCTGGTGATGGGGCCCAGCCACCCTCATGGTAATTGGGGGTTGCATATGGAACTTACAAGAATGACGAGAATGGGGCTGGTGCCAGGCCATCTCCTAGCATCTAGGGGACCATCTCCAACACAGAGCAGAAAACCAGTTTGAGAAAACCGGGGAGGTGCACAAATTGGGGCCAGCACACCCAAGCTCCGTCTGCTGGTGTTGGACTTGGACTGTGATATCCCTGGAATAAGAGCCCTCCCACACAATGCCTCCCCTAATTCCTGGCCCTGACCCCTAGGAATGGAACCTGTGCATCCACCCCATTCACCACCAGAACATCAAGGCACTGCATTGCACAACCATCTAAATCTCCTGGTGTTCTGATTGGTGGGATTTCAGGCAGGATGAGGGAAGCAGTCATAGTGACTAGTGTTCCTGACTCAGTCAGTCACCTTTCCTATCTCAAGAGCTTCTCTTTGATCCAGGAAAGTGAAAAAAAAAGGTAGGCCTTTAGCAGCCTTTTGCACCAAGAAGTTGGTTCCACCTCCTTCTTCCCAGCCGTTTCCCCCTCTGGGCTCTGAAGCAGTAGTTTACTCTGGCCACTCTCTCTCTCAGGGGTCCTTTCCACAGTCACAGGGCTGGCTGGGTGGGTGCTGGCTTCCCACACGGTCACTCTGGCTTCCTGCCTCCTCTAGAGTTCTCCAGTTTCCTCCCAATCCATCCCAGAAATCCAGAACTGCTCTAGGTCCCCAGCTCTCACAGCCCTGGTCCTGGCTCCCACACTGCTCTCTGTTCTCCTGGAGGCGGTGGGAACAGGGGGTGGAGGACAGTGGCCACCCACCATTTGCCAAGTACCTCTTTTATACCAAGCACTGGGGCAGGGGCTGAGGAATCAGATAGTAAGACATGGTCCGTGTCCTTTAAGGGCTGGAATTTACCAGAGGAATTCTACCTGGAAATGAAAAGGTGCCATAAAGTATACCAGCTTCAACCAGAGACACATGTGGGGTACTGGGGTACACAAAAGAAGGAGGGAGCATCCTTCCTGGGGAGGAGGAGAGGGGCTCTTGAGCTTAGTGTGAAAGATAAGTAGGTATTTTTCACAAACAGGAGAAGGAGGAAGCAGTGGGCTAGAGAATCTTCCTGATAGAAGGCACAGCATGTGGAAAAGCTGGTGGGGACCCTCCTGGAGAACTGTGACTTCGTGGATAACTGTTCAGTGACCACTCTCAGCCTTCTCCCAAAGAGAAAGACACACAGCTCCAAGATGTGTGTAATTCCCCACATCAGACCCTGAAATTTTTCCGTGAATCTCTATTGCCTCTCTAAAACCTTTGTTATATTTTAATGTCATATTCTTCCAACTTACTTCAAGTTCTTCCTCTCTAGTGCATAGCACTGACTCCCTGGCTATATCGCCAGTGTCTGGAGCACTCTGCAGCCCTGATCAGATTTCTCAGTGCTTGCTGGCAGGAGAGCATCTCTGAGCCGTCCAAGGGTGAGACCCTGAAACAGGTCAGCCTTGTCTGTCAGGATGTGCTTTTTCCCTCCCTGAAATGACTCTCAATTCTTAAGTGTTTCAGCCTCTCTTGAGGCTTGTTTAAACAGTCATCTGCAGCCTGCCCCTTGCCAAGGGAGTTTCTCACATTTACCAGTTTAGAAGCTCCTGTGAGGCTGACCATGCTCCCTCCGTCTGAAATGCCCACTCCTGTACCATGTACTCCCCCAAAGCTGGGCAGTGGCTCAGTCACTGTAACTTCCTTCTGACTGCAAGGTGGTAGCATAAGGATGATCACAGCTCCTGCCAGTGTAAATCTACCTTCCCGGAGTGATGAACTTGTTGACAGTCACAAGGACATCAGGCTGGTGACTAGGGGGATGACGTAATCTGACATGTGCTCTAAGGCTCCCAGACAAGACCCTCACAATATAAGCAAATGTCTGCTCTCCCCATCTGCAGCCACTGCTCTCACCCAAGACTACCCTGAAAGAGCTCAGCATTAGAGCCAAATCTACATTTTATAAGGAGGATGGATGAGAGAGTTTAACTATGTATGCTGGGAGCCAACTCTTTAAATCCTACATTGATATCTCTCTCCTCCCAAGTTCCTATTATGGGACACACTGTATTTTAAATACCTTCATCCTTGAAAATCTCGTGGCTTCTGCCTTCAAACCTGCACATCTCCACCTTCTGAGCACTTAGAAAACAAAGACCCATCCAGTTACCAGGGCCCAGAATTATAAATGATGCCATCATGATGCATGTTCTGGCCCGCACGAGCTCTTTGCACTGCCTTGTGCACTCCGCTCTCCAGGACGATGGCACCAAGGCTGCCCCTGCAAATGCTCACTCAAAACCCTGCTCCAGGGGCTTCCCTGGTTACTGCAGGCTTGCTTGATCGCTCCTTTCTTTGAACTCCTCTCTTCCTCTCTCCCTGTCCCTGGAGTATATTTCTGCTGTCTGGTTGGTTCTGTACTCTTGGCATGCTCCACACGCACCTTGGGCCAAATCAGCCACATCCATGGTGGCAACTAGTATCTATGTTCTGGATTGAATTGACGTTTGACTTGGACATTGCATAGTTACCTCAAACTGGACATATCCCAAATGGAATCAGTGTCCTTTCCCCAATCCTGCCCTTCCTCCTACTTTCATTAATTTGGGCCATCTGTGTGTGCAGATGACACAGGCATGCAGAACCCAGTCCAGATGCCAGGATCCATCTGGACACTTCTCTCTTCTTCACCTCTGACCTCCAGTTACTCACATCTCTCACGCTTTATGTCTCTGTTCTCCCTCTTCTGTACCCTCTTCCCCATTTCCCCTGCCCCTGCTTGGCTCAGGCCATCAACACTTCTGGACTGATTTCTGCAATCACTTCTGAACTGGGCTTCCTGTCAAAAATGCCCTTTTATTCTCCCTTTCATCAAACTAATATCTGCTAGTAAGTGTGCCATTTGAGGCTGTTAGCTCTGTGAAGACAGGGTTTGTCCCTGCCCTGACTTTAGAGCTCCAGCTTGGATAAGTGTCTGTGACAAGGTAGGCAGTTCAGTGTTCAGGGTAAGACTGTGGCTCCAGAGTCAGCGTCTGGGCACAATGAAAAGTTCCTAGCTATGTGACTATGGACAAACCACTCGACATGCTTGTGCCTTTATTTCCACACATGTCAAAAGGAGTATACTAGGAGGTATTTCACATGCTTGTTTTGATATATGTAAAGGGCTTAGATTAGGGCCTGGCATACTGTTGGCACTAAGTAAGTGCTAGTGTTTATACAAGGCATGAAATATTTATTTGTATGAATGAATGCATAAGTCCTAATTTAGCTTTCGCTTATCTTGCATTGTTTCCTATTGTTCTGGGTCAGGTAGTACCTGATAAATTCTAAGTACCTGGAATCAAGAGACCATGGACTTTTTATTCTTCACAGTACCTAGAAAACTGTTGCGCACATAGCAGACATTCAGGAAATACTTACTGATTGGTTTAATGTTCTAGAGAAGTAAGTACTCCTTCTAATAAAACCCTATGGTGTGCTGAGAGACCCCTCTCCATGTGTCCCTTGCCCTGCACACATCTTGCAAGCAGAGGCCTTGAACAGCCATGGAAAATAGAGATTAGTACCTTCCTCTGAAGCAGAGGGCAGCCTTGTTTACTGTCCAGTGTAATAAAGATAAAGTCTCCCTCTGGGGCAAAAACTGGGTCAGCTTGCTTGCAATCTGTTATAAAAGATTGAACGGATGTTTTAAGCCTGAGGTTTCTCAGCTGTAATGCAAAACCACTGCAATCTTACCATCCACATACACTGTTCGACCTCACACCCATGGAACGCACAGGCAAATGGAAACAACAGGAGCATGAATTTTAGGCTACTTGTTATGCCTTGGGTAATAGACTCCCTTGGCTCTGACCCAGGAGTCTAGTGTCTTCTGACAGCATCCACAAAACTGTGGCAGGCTCACTTGTTAGTTTGCAAATAGGATAAAATCTCAGACCCTTCACAGTTCGTGACATAGTGTTGGAAAGAAAAGCACATTCATCTAATTGCTGGGTTCAATATCATTCAGATATTCAGAATCTATTTAGAGGTATGGGGGACTAAATAAACAAGACCTCCAATTTTAAATTCTCTAAGCACTGAGTCCTAAAGTTCTAGTTTCTCATGGTGCCTCTCAGTATTATCGTTATGTTATTCTAACCTGCAGAACAGAACCAGTGAAAACATTAAATAAGTTGCTTTGAATTTTGCTCTGAGAACATACTTAGAATCCTTTTCTCCAGCTACACAGTTGGGTTAATTTAGGTAGTTGTTCAGTTGCCACAGGGCAGCGTCTAGAGATTTTTTTTTTTAAGGGGATTGTGTTATTCTTAAAGCACAATGGGATTCGTCGCCAAGATGATGAAGGCTCCACAAACCCTATGGTGTGATGAAGAGTTAAAGGAACTGGAGTAGTTAACTAAGGAGAAGTGTGGGACATTATCACACATTTGAAGGCCTGTCAAAGGTAAGCACTATTAGATTTGTCTCCAGAGTGTGGGACTTGGCCCAAAGACTGTAAGCACCAGAGAAACAATTTTCAGCTCAGTTTAAGAAAGTGTTTCAAATCGTAATGGGTTGCTTCAAGGGACAGTGTTTTCCTCATCATAAGAAGGACTTAAATAGGGGCAGGATGAGTTAATCATGTGGTTTTATAAATCTTAAGATTTACTAAGAGTTTAAGACAGCATTATGCAAAACGATTATGTTGGCTTAAGTTAATACCTGTAATATTTCTGACCATGTAACTGATATATTTCACTCTGTACCTTGCTAAATGAAAGACACTTTTTCTGTTTGAATTTGTTTAATTCACTGACAGATGGTTTATATTTTGTTGATAATGGTCGCTACTTGTCTCTGTAACTATTTCTGGGTTTTACAACCATGCAGTTGAAAAAATAGTGAGACTATAAAAATCACTAATCATAGACAATATTATTGACAGTTTTCTGTGTGCCAGGCACTGTGTTAAGGGCTTTCTATGATATACCCCATTTGACTCTACAATAACTCTCTGAAGTCAGCACTGTGTGACCTCCTTTTACAGATGAGGAAACTGAGACACAGGGCAGCATGTGGTTTACCCAAAGTCACGAGCTTAAGTACCAGAGGAGAGTGTGAATTTGGAGCAGTCTGATTTCTAAGGCAGTGCTCTTGTCAACTACACATTTAAAACAGAACCAGGTGGGGCACGGTGGCTCATGCCTGTAATCCCAGCACTTTGGGAGGCTGATGTGGACAGATCACTTGAGGTCATGAGTTCAAGACCAACCTGGCCAACATGGTGAAACCCCGTCTCTTACTAAAAATACAAAAATTAGCCAGGGCTGTTGGTGCACACCTGTAGTCCTAGCTACTCAGGAGGCTGAGGCAGGAGGATCTCTTGAGCCTGGGAGGTGAAGGTTGTAGTGAGCCTACAGCACACCACTGCACTCCAGCCTGGGTGATGGGTGATGGCAGTGAAACCCTGTCAAAAAAAAAAATCAGATATGGAAAAAGAAAGCTCATGAGTTGTTAAGGAGGTATGAAATGTGATAATTTTCCTAAGGTATCAGAGGAAGAGAGATTCATGTATTCTCTTAGGATATCAAAATAACCCAAGGGCTACTTATTCATTTCTGTCAATTGTGGTGTTACAGCTGAGTTTCTGGAGGTTATTTTAAAAGATGAAGTATTTCACAACACTGCCAGAATGGGAACATTTTTCTTTAAAGAAAACTTTGTATTTTTTTTTCTGACGCTTTTGAACTTGCTGTTCAAAGGGGAACAAGCAAGTTTTAAAAGCTAACGATTTCTAAATACAGTTAAAAACCTGTACACTTTATGTCCAGGGAATGTCTTTTTCATAGTGAAGGTTTTCAGTCACATAATATAACTATGCTACAGTTATGTAACATTTTAGGATGGTGCAATGTTGGATATGTTGCAGTTTTTTTTCAGGACTGAAAACTCTAAGGTCGATGCTGGTAGATTCCAAGGATAATACCATTATCCCTGCGGGCTCAGCAGTAGGATTATTAACGCTTGGGATGACTGCTCCTCTGACAAGTAGATGATGAAGTTTTGTTAAAAGTGGATTTTAAAAAATAACAGTGCTATTTTTCCAATGTGAAAAAGTCATTAAATAAAGATGGCATAAAAGAGGCATGGCTTTCCATGAACCTAATAACATTTTCAAAACCTTGAAAAGCTATGAGGCCCAGATGGCTTATACTTGGCACTGGCAAACCGGGGCCAGATAGTAAATGTTTTCAGCTTTGTAGGCCACATACAGTCTGTCTTGTAACTATTCAACTCTGTTGGGTAGAATGAAAGCAATTGTAAATAATATGGAAACAAACGAATTTGATTGAGATCTGACAAAACTTATAGACAATGAAATTTGCATTTCATGTAATTTTCAGTGTCACAAAATAATATTTCTTTTTTATTTTTTTAAAAAAACCATTTAAACATATAAACCTTGTCTTTAGCTCACATGCATACAACAACAGTCAGAGGGCTGGACGTGACCCTTGGATGATCCTGGCTTAACCTGGATTTAGCCTGGCTATATCTTGCAGAATGAGCAGAATCCTTGAGAGCTGGCAAGAGAGGCCAGTGAGTCTGGTCTGGGCACATTTCCATCTCTTCTTTCTTCAACCCCTCTTCACTCCTGGATTTCCCAAAGATCACCTGCTTCCAGTCAGGAGCATTTAATATATGCAGTACACATCAACTGCCTTCATGATTGTGACTACCAAATAGTGGGCACTGTTATCTGTGTTACAGGTATTACCTTGTCTTTAGTTCTGTCAGTCATCCTCATAGAAAGTGATTCAAGGATTGCTACTGAGTTTACCTCAAACAAGATTTAAGTTCAACTTGCAATGCTTTAATAGTAATAACAAAATGTCTGTCTCTCCGCTGGTTCATAGCTGCTGCTTACTAGTGATACAATGCTTCTCTGTGACAGAGCCTAGACAGATAGATGCCTCATTACCTCTTCTTGGGAGAATGCATTTCCTAACCTTGCTTGTAGGTAGTGGAGGTGATGTAACTGGTTTTAGCTAATAAGCAATGTATGGCGTTCGCAGGCCTGAGTCCAAAAACATCCAGACTGATCTATCATGGGCTCTCCTTTCTCTCACATCCACCCAGCTAAAAGCAAAGATGGCAGAGCTGCTAGAACTCTGCAATGGGTGGAGCCACAGAGTAGAGAGAGGGCGTCACTCAGCAGAGCTGCGCAACCCACAGTGGACATTGATTGGGGAAGAAATAAATAATTACTGTTTTGAGCTACTAGGATTGTGGGGTTGTTAGAGTAGCTAATATTAATTATCCTGACTAACATACAATAGTTTTGCAATCCTGCCTGCTATAGTTTGAATGTCCCCTACAAAACTCATGTTGAAACTCAATCTCCACCATGGCATATTAAGAGGTAGGCCTAAAATTAAGAGGTGAGAGGGTCATGAGGGTTTTGCCCTCATGAATGGATTAAACCATTAAGAGATTAATGAATTAATAAATTACCATGGGAGGAGAACTTGCTGCTTATAAGAAGAGGAAGAGAGACCTGAGCTAGCATGTAAGCATGCTTAGCCCCCTTGCGATGTGACACCGTGTGCTGCCTCAAGACTCTGCAGAGAGTCCCTACCAGCAAGAGGGCTCTCCTCAGATGTGATCCCTCAATCTGGGACTTCTCCGCCTCCATAACTGTAAGAAATATATTTCTTTTCTGTATACATTCCCCAGTTCTAGGTATTCTAAGTAACAGAAAATGGACTAATGTACTACCCAAGGATTTTATTCAACTTCCTCTCCTTGCCTTTGATGGGGTTTATTGGCAATCTCTTATATTGCAACAATTGCAATCTTGTGACTCATAACATGAGAATTCGATAAAAAGTTCACAAAACTGAGCAAACACACTTCTGGGCATTTATCTCAGATAACTGAAAATTTATATCCAGACAAAAACCTGTGTAAGGTGTTCCCAAGTAGTTTTATTTGTAATAGCCAAAGCCCAAAAACAACCAACATGTCCTGCAATAACTGAATTGCTAAATGAACTGTGGTATATGCATACCATTGAGTGCTACTCAGGAATAAAAATAAATGAACTATTGACACATGCAACCACTTAGATAGATCTCAAGTTCGTCATGCTGAATGAAAAAGAAAAGCCAGTCTCAAGGTAATACACTGTTATTCCATTTACATAAACATTCTCATTCATATAGAAATACAAAATTACAGTGATGGAAAACTCATCACTATAGTGATTGGTGGTTGCTAGAGGTTAGAGTTGGTGGGAGTAAGGGAAAGAAGTGGGTGTCACTTTATGGGTAGCATAAGGGAGAGACCTTCGTAGTGATGGAATAGTTCTTTATCTTGATTGTAGTGGTGACTATAGGAATACACACATGTGATAAAATGACCTCAAAATATACATCCACATTATATCAAAATCAATTCTGTGGTTTTGATATCATACTATAACTATGCAAGGAGTAATCATTGAGGGAAACTGGACGAAGGGCACAGGGACTTCTCCATATTCTTTGTGCGATTTCCTATAAGTCTATAATTATTACAAAAGAACAACCATTCATTCATTAAGTCCTTACTCTATCTCATTTAGTCCTAACAACAGCATTATGAGGTGGGTATTTTACCTGTTTTACACGGGAGGAAACTAAGGATTCGAAAGGTGAAATAATAGCAAAGAGCAGGCGCTAGAAAGTGACAGAGCTGGGATTCAGGTGAGTTTATCCGCTTCCACAGATCCTGTTCTGCATACCTATCCATACCTCTACATTTTATGTATTAAAAAATAGTTTTTGGTACCATTTGGTAAATGGATTTTGACAAGAAAGCAAAAGAAAAACAGCAGAACTGAAAACCATTTTATGCCAGCAGGAGCTCTACATGACACTTAATTAAGTAAAAATGGGAGGCTAATTGGCATCAGGTCCAGAACATCTCCACAGCTCAGCGTTCCACAATAAAAACAGAACACATTTGCTCACCCAAATTTAAGAATATTTGCTAATTAATTATGGTCCAGCTTTCCTCATCTAATATATAAATTCTGAATTTCCTTCCCTAACATGGAATTGATTTTATTTTTGCTTTACTTTTCTAGCTATATTTTATATCCAGAAGAGCACATGAATCATCTTTTTTCATAAATTTCAACAGAAAGATCATGAGAATTCAAAACAATTTCACTTCAAAAAATTATTCAAAGAAATATATTTGAGAATATAAAATGGGCTATGGAGATTGTGTGGTTTGGACCTCTGAGGAGCGCTCCCCTCTGGTCCACTTGATTAGTTAGAATGGATCTGGGGTGTTTTGAAATTGCATCCCATACACAGCATTAGCTGCTTCATGCTGGGCCCCAGTGCTGCCATTTGGGGGAACCATGTGGAGTTTGGGGAGAGCTAAGCAGACTTGTTTCCAAGAGCCCCACAGAGTGAGCGATGCTGATTTTGATCATTTGCAGAGTGTGGCTATGCTGCAAGTGACAAAAATGAACAGTTACAAGGCTGAGGGCAAAAACCTACAGTAACCAAGAAACGGTGGTTTATAATTTTAAGGGAGAATAAATAAGGAGAACAACCTGCCCAGAATCCTTGCCTTTTTGTTCTGAAATTCAAAGACCCTTTCTTGATTCTGTCCTTACTTTTTTTAACTCTACAACTAATTTGTTAGCAAGATCTATTATTTCTATCTCTAATTTTATACATATTTTTGAGATATTTATTTCTATTTTCATGATCCTGGTCCATAATGTCCAGTCTGGTCTATTAATTGTTCTCCCTGCCATGACTCTTTGTCTACCTCCAATTTGTGCCACAACGTATAGCCAGAGTGGTTTTCTTAGAATGGAATTTAATCAAATAATTCTCCTATTAAAAATCTCATTTTTTTAATTCTCAAGGAAATATATAAAGCCTCCAATTGAATACAACTCTTTTCTGATCTTTGTATAGATAGCATTCTGAATATCTGAACTCTCCAAGTTTTGAGACCCACACTGAGAAAATATGCATGCAGAATTCCTTTTAAGCATTTTCATTTTTCTTTTTGCTGGATATGCCATATGTTAAATAAGGAACGTATCTAGACATCTAATGCCGTGCTGCAATACTGGCACGTCAGCTAGAGGAAAGAATGGGAGGGAAGAGGTGCATGGTGAGCCCTGACTGTTCAGTCAACAAGTGCTAATTGAGCACCTGTTCTTTGCTATGTGCTATGCTAGGCACTAGAAGTACAGAGCAGAAAAGACACAGCTCTTGCT
This sequence comes from Homo sapiens, assembly GCF_000001405.40. Classification (NCBI taxonomy): domain Eukaryota; kingdom Metazoa; phylum Chordata; class Mammalia; order Primates; family Hominidae; genus Homo; species Homo sapiens. The sequence goes on along the minus strand of NW_017852931.1, from coordinate 34,360 downwards.
GCCTGCTAAATGAGAACATTATCCGAACACTTGTTAAAGATGGTAAGGCAGACTTTATTCAAGAGAGCTATGGTGATAGGGTCACCACCATGGGGTCTTGCAGTGGAGAGATTGGACAGTTCCAACTCCAACAAGGATAAGTGGGAATTTATAACCAAGGGTGGGGTCAGTGGATGGAAAATTACTAGAGGAAACATCAAGGATAAGGAGTTCCTGATTAAAGTGACTGGATAGGATTACTGCTGAAGGCAGGCCATGATGATAAGATATCAAAGTGGTCAGATACCAAGGGTGGGAGTCTCATTTCATTTTAAATAAAATTCAAGCTTTTAACCAGGGCCTGGAAGGCCCTAAAATCTGCCTGCTGCCTCTCTTCAAACTCATTGCCTGCCAGCTCTTCCTCTTGCTCAACCTGTTCTTGGCACACTGACGTTCTTGCTGTTTCTCAGTCATGCCAAACTATTCCACCACTGGGCCTTCGCACATGCTGCTCCCCCTGAGAACTGCTCCATGGGATCTCTACATAGAAGATTTCCTGGTTTTAATCAGCTCCCCCCAACTCAAATTTCTTCTTCTCATAGATGCTGTCCCTCAAATATGATAAGCATACTTAAAGTGGCTTTCTTTTCATTATCTCCATCTTGTGGTTCTTATTCAGCTTTCTTTTTAGCATTTATTACTTCTTGAAATTATACACTGCTTTATTTGTTACTTATTTATTATCCAGAACTCTCAATCAAAACAAGTTCTTAATGGACAGGGACACTGTCTATTTTGTTCTCTGCTGTATCTTCAGCACGTGGTGTCTGGCTCTGTCACCCAGGCTGGAGTGCAGTGGCATGATCTCAGCTCACTGCAACCTCCACCTCCTGGGTTCAAGTGATTCTCATGCCTCAGCCTCTCGAATAGCTGGGATTACCGGTGTGTACCACCATACCTGGCTAATTTTTGGATTTTTAGTGGAGATGGGGTTTCGCCATGTTGGCCAGGCTGGTCTTGAACTTCTGGCCTCAAGTGATCTACCCCCCTTGGCCTCCTAAAGTGCTGGGATTATAAGTGTGAGCCACTGCACCCGCCCTGAACCCCACTCTTCACTGCACACCTGGCTGATGTTGCAGTGTGGCCTTGTCCCCCTGCTCACGTGGAGTGGTCATCCTGAGCCCTTAGCTTTCATCCAAATGTTCAGTCCAGCCTTGCCCCAAGTTCATCCACCACAGTGCTCTATCCTCCCGACTTGACTCAGCCCCTTCCCAGGGGAAGTTCTCAGACGGCGTTTGTTAAAATTTAATTTGAGCCACAAAACCTAGTGTCAGACCAGAACAAATAAACACTGCACAGGAAAACATGACCTTATCACCCATTGCATTCTATCAGATTTCCTTTTACTGTTTGAAAGTGAGCCTGTTGCTCTAGGCCTATGGAGATACAGCCTCCAGAGATTGTCAAGTCTAATCGCAAAACCCATCTGAGGGAAATGTATGGGAAAATACCCAGATCTGAATACCAGCCCCGCCCTTCAAGCTTACCCTGCTCACCAGTCTTCTCAATTCATTGCTTGAAATCAAGAATGTTGAGCTTTCCAAACCCAGGTTTCTGAAACTGAAATTTTCCATGGAAAGCTGGAAGGGTGCTCCTGGGAATATTAAGTACTGTGATGGATTAGGTAACAATGGGATTATCCATACACTTCAGACAGCCTTAGAAAATCATAATGATGAAAGACATTCAGGCAGCATGGACTCTTTTTATTACATAAGAAAGCGTGGGAACATGTGAGAGACATAGTTTGGTTCCTCTCCAGAGCTCCTTCCAGAGCTTGCCAGGCCTCACCAACCGACTAACATTTGTTAAAATATTTCAGATCTTGATAATGAAGAAAAACTACAAAGTCGTTTTATTTCTACTGTAGGAACATTCTGCCAGTGATCTGTTCTGAAAGCATAAAAGTTGAAGCTGTCACAAAGAAAAAAGGGACAGAGAATGACTCTGGAATTCTTGTAAAAGAGGCAGTTTATGAAGTGCCATTGATTTCAGCTTATTTAAATAGACTTGGGCTTGAAACTTTGAAATGAAAATAGCTTAACATGCTTAAGCCTACAATTAGGCAATTAAAAGTTATACAATATTCACTGCTTATGAAGCTTAAATCCAATTGCTCTGATCTGGGGAATTTTTAGAAGTTATTGAATCTAAGCTCTTATTTCTAGATTTAGACAGGATTAGACCTATGGTGTGTTGGTGATAAGTGTCTACTCAAAACAAATGAGGAACAGGCCCCTGTCCCCTTTGCCATTTTTTTTACAATTCTAAAGGATTCTGACAATCCAGCTCCTTATGGTATCAATGGAAAGTCAGAGGAAAATCACCATTCACTTTGCAATTTATATTTTTAAAGGTGATTTTCATTTCATGATGCAATACATTTTTTTTCAGAGAATGAATTTAAATGGTTACCTTAAGGAGAGATTTGTCCATCATTCAGACAGTATTTTGAGATATAAAAATTTAAATGAAAAGATCTGGTCTTTAAAGTCTAAACTCTAATTATAATTTGAGAGACAAAAAAAATTACCTGAAATTAGTAATAGTAGTCATTAGAGCAAACATCTACTGAGCACCCCATAAAAACCATTATAAGGTAGGTACAATACTCATTGCTATGTTACAGATAAAACCAAATGTCTTATTCCAGGTCAAAGGACCAGTAAGTGGAGAAGCAAGATTTGAACTTGGGTCTCCTGTGTTCCTCCTGCTGATGGGGACTGTAACAACTTTCCCCATGTGCACTCGCATGGGAAGTGAGCCGTGAGAGACTTAGAGGCATTTAGAGCCATGGTTTTCAGATTTTATATTTTATAGACTAACATATATTTTTAAAAAGTAGAGAGGAAATCAATATATGGTTGCCAGGTATTTATTGCGCCAAGTAAAGATATTTTTAAAACTACCATCCATTTTTGCCATCTTCCCACTAAAAATAAGGATATTTTAACATCAAAATGTATGAGAACATAATTTGAGTAAAAACCAAAAGGTTTATACAATCTGAAGAGAAACCAGAATGAAGAAGGACATAATTTTAGAATAAAAGAAAACCCTTCAAATTGAGGAGTTTAATTTTATGAAAACCTCACTTGAGAAATATGAATTTTTATTTTTCTGTTTATTTTTTATTTTTTATTTTTATTTTTTTTTTGAGACGGAGTTTCTCTCCTGTTGCCCAGGCTGGAGTGCAATGGCGCAATCTCGGCTCCCCGCAACCTCCACCTCCAGGGTTCAAACAATTCTCCTGTCTCAGCCTCCTGAGTAGCTGAGATTACAGGCACGTGCCACCACGGCCGGCTAATTTTGTATTTTTAGTAGAGATGGGGTTTCTCCATGTTGGTCAGGCTGGTCTTGAACTCCCGACCTCAAGTGATCTGCATGTCTTGGCCTCCCAAAGTGCTGGAATTACAGGCATGAGCCACTTTGTCCAGCCTATTTTTTTATTCTTTGATATGACTACAGATCAGTGAAAATGTTGTCACAGATCAGCACTGCTCTATCGACTGGCATTTGGAAAACACTAGCTCAAGGACAGTGGAGAAATTTCTGATGAAAGATGTAAAACATCTCAACAAGATAAGGACAGAAACAATTCAGCAACCACATCCAGTTCAGTGTTTGCCCAATTCTTGTGTTTGGAGTCTCTCTAGCCCTGCAGAACCTCTTCGGATGATCCGTTGAAGCACTCATCTTTAGCCACTGGAAATGCTCTGGAAGGCATAAAAATAAGAAAGAAACCACCTTAATGGTATTCAGAGCTTTAACTGCACTAGATGCTCTAAGTCTTTCAAACCCAATTCATTTTACTCTCTATTTTTCAGTCTCTCACTTTTGCTCATTCTCCTGTTTCACGTTGTGCTTTAGAGTTCAATGGCCCTGTCTCTCCATCTAGAATTTGGCATCCTTCCACCGCTATTCAAATTTTCCTACAGTCTCAAATAATATAGATTGCTTTGGGCAATCCACCCTTCCCAGCTCAAACATTCCAGGAATCCTTATCTCGGGGCCACATCCTCAGCAGACAGCTCTCTACCTGTTTTACTTCTGTCTCACTGGAGTGAACTAGATAATAACAAAAGCTTTTCTATACCCTATACAAACACTGCAGAGTCTGTGTAATCTATAGCTTGTGATAAAACGATGTGTAGAGGACATCTGCTGTTTTTACCTGTAAAGCATTCCTTACTCCTTGATTTGAAAGCAGCACTCCAATTTTACTGAGGGGATAACCCATACCATGTGAATATATTCTTGAAGAAACTGTCAATCAAGGTGGTGCAGACCTGCAAGCCACCTTTGCCACCATGCCAAAGGGTTGGCATAAAAGTACCCATACTAGGCAGATAAGACTCTCTTCCATGAATCTGGAATTTGAACATCTAACCTAACAGCACAGGGCAGAAAAATCATCAGAGGTGAATCATTCTGATCATGGCACTTTGAGTAGATTTTTTAATTTATGAAATGTCGTTTCCCAGAGCATCCTTGCTTCCTATTTTTCCTGATTCAGTCTTCCTTTCTGTTCTCTGCTGCTTTATAGCTTTTATAACTAACCTTCCTTCCCCTCTTGTTTGCTTAAGTTAATCGGAATCTATTTCTAATGCTTATAATAAAACATGGTAGCTAACACATTTTGCTTATTACTATTATTCATAATAAAAATTGCTAAGGTATACTGCGGTCTTACCATGTGAGTGCTGGGCTGTGTGGTTTGCATGCTTCTTGATCTCCACCGTTACCTCAGGGATAGTTAGATTTATTGCCAATTTACTTTTGAGCACAGTTAGACTTAGCGAGACTAAGTAGTTTGCCTGAGATTATGCTACCAGGTAGAGGAGGCAGGGTTTGAACCCCAGGTCTGTTTGACCTCTCGAACTGCCTCTAGTCATGACAAGTACAGTATATATTGTTTTAATACTGTGGGTTAAGCACAGATCTTCTCAAGGAAATATATAAAGCCTCCAATTGAAGACAACTCTTTTCTGATCTTTGTATAGATAGCATTCTGAATATCTGAACTCTCCAAGTTTTGAGACCCACACTGAGAAAATATGCATGCAGAATTCCTTTTAAGCATTTTCATTTTTCTTTTTGCTGGATATGCCATATGTTAAATAAGGAACGTATCTAGACATCTAATGCCGTGCTGCAATACTGGCATGTCAGCTAGAGGAAAGAATGGGAGGGAAGAGGTGCATGGTGAGCCCTGACTGTTCAGTCAACAAGTGCTAATTGAGCACCTGTTCTTTGCTATGTGCTATGCTAGGCACTAGAAGTACAGAGCAGAAAAGACACAGCTCTTGCTGCCTGCTAAATGAGAACATTATCCGAACACTTGTTAAAGATGGTAAGGCAGACTTTATTCAAGAGAGCTACGGTGATAGGGTCACCACCATGGGGTCTTGCAGTGGAGAGATTGGACAGTTCCAACTCCAACAAGGATAAGTGGGAATTTATAACCAAGGGTGGGGTCAGTGGATGGAAAATTACTAGAGGAAACATCAAGGATAAGGAGTTCCTGATTAAAGTGACTGGATAGGATTACTGCTGAAGGCAGGCCATGATGATAAGATATCAAAGTGGTCAGATACCAAGGGTGGGAGATTTTTTCACTAATCTGATTTAGCAGGATTCCTGCTCAAACTAGATTCTATAAGGACACAGAATTTTAATCCTAGTTCTCTATTTTTCTGTTCAGTAGGCTTTTAGAACTCTGCATATTTTTTAAAAGTTGATTCTAACCTTGCCCCCTGCATTTTACTCTAGAGTAGCTCTAGTTCTGTCCAATAGAAATATAATGCAAGCAGCAGCATGTATAATTCTAAATGTTCTAGTAGCCACATTGTAAAAAGTGAAAACTGAAAGGTAAAATTAATGTTAATAACGTATACTATTTAACTCAATATAAAGTATTTTTATTTATCATGTAATCAAAATAAAAATTATTAATGACTATATTTTATGTTTTTTTAACAAAATCTTCAAAACCCAGTGTGTATTTTATACTTACAATATGCCTCAATTCAGATGCTAAATTTTCATCAAAATATTTTATTGGTACTTGGTTTCATAAATTTGGATTTGAAAAAGTAGATATACATACTCAAATTATTTGAAACATAAGCTTTCCAATAACTGAATGAGCACCAAAAATCATTATCCTTCACATTTGCATCCATATTGACAAAACTGGTTCATCATTTTTCAAAAAATGAATTTGATTTTGAAGTAAAAGCAGGCCAAGTTCAGGACTCAGAGGAGCCTGAGATTTTGGTCAAAGGAGAGGGTCTTTGTCAATCCCAAAGAGCCTAAAAGATAAACAATCTAGAAAAATGTTTTAATTGTGAGATAATTAAAATAATAAGTATTTCAAATTAATTACTAATTTTGATTTAGATAGGTACCACTGTAACTTGTGCTCCACATATAAAATATTCTAGTAAATATGTTACAATGTTACACCAGTGCATAAAAAATGAGCATTCAAACTGAATCAACCCTTTGACAATAACAAGAAATGATGAAGATGCTCAACACACACTATATAGTGACACAGGATTTTCTTTTTGGTCACTTTGCAAGCTGGGGACCTCTGGCCAGTGACACCCTGCCTGGGCACACTACCCACAGCAGGAGATGGCCCACCCACTTGGCTGCCAGGGCCAAGTCTGTCTTGCACACCAGTCCCCAAGTTCTTGTCCTGCACCCAAGAAGCATGAGAATGTGTTGACAGTCTAAGAGTGAGCAAGGCAGGTTTTTAAATTTAGTTTAATTTAATTTTAAGTTCCAGAATACATGTGCAGGATATGTAGGTGTGTTACATAGGTAAACATGTGCCATGGTGGTTTGTTGCACCTATCAACCCATTGCCCAGGTATTAAGCCCAAGGCAGGGGTTTTTATTGAGTGATGAAACAGCTTTCAGCAAAGAGAGGACATGGGAGTGGTCCCCCTACCTAAAGGCAGGAAAGTGCCCCCCAATGTGACTGAGTCCTGGGCTTTCATGGGCTCAGAATGGGGAAGGGGCAGGCCATAGGTAGTATTTGAAAAGGCAACATTCGATTGGTTAAAAGACATTATTCAGAAAAATTTAATCAGGAAAGGGTGGGCAAACAGGAGCAAAAGTTCTCACTCTGGGTTGCGGGTTTCATCCAGGACCAGCAGTCCAGTCTTTCAGCCTTCAGGCTGTTTTTGGCTTGAAGGTAGGGTTTCACCAGAGACCCACCCCTATCTGCTTAGGCATTTGGCTGCCTCCTGTTGCTACGAACAGAATAAAGATGGTGTCTTACATGTTGCAGTGCTTGTAAAACTTAGTTTACTGAAACAATAAAGTTATATTTAACAGAAAAATATTTTACATAGCCTTGGTTTTAAAATTTAAATGTAAACTAATTAAAATAAAATAAAATTAAATTAAAAATTTATCTCCTTAGATGCACTAACCAATAACCAGTACCCAGTAACCATGAAAGGAATGCTTGCTGCAGTGTCAATAGTCAGTACTAAGAGGGAAGTTTATAAGCGCTTACATCAAAAAAGAAGAAAAACTTCAAAGAAATAATCTAATGATGCATCTTAAAGAACTAGAAAAGCAAGAGCAAACCAAACCCAAAATTAGTAGAAGAAAAGGAATAATAAACACAAGAGAAGAAATAAAATTGAAATGAAAACAATACAAAAGATCGATGAAATAAAATGTTGGTTTTTGAAAACTTAAACAAAATGGAGAAAGCTTTAGCCAGACTAAGTAAAAAAGAGAGATGATCTAAAATAAATAAAATCAGAGATGAAAAAGGAGATAGTACAAATGAGCAAAATTTTAAGTGCCAAGGAAAAGAAAAGCTTATTTATGACTTAGCTAAGACAGGTATGATCATTTATGTTGAAATTGAAACTTTCTACAATACAAACCAAAAAAACAATTTTACATGTTTTTACAATATGAATCAATATGTACAAGCTTTTAATTGTAATTGACAGAATTGTGTATATTGGCTATAAGAACCACAAGAATAATTTAAGGAACGCTTTGTTTATAATAGTATATATAGAGCTGCTTTTCAATGTCTGCAATATACCTTTGAATTTCATGTTAATAACACCGAGTTGACATAAGAATTAGCAAATTTACTAAGCTTGGACAGCTATGCTTTTGCTTCAATGTCAAATCCATTCTTTGAAAAATGATGAACTGGTTTTGTCAATGTGGATGTAAATATGAAAAGATAGTGATTTTTGGTGTGCGTTCAATTATTGGAAAGCTTACATTTCAAACAATTTGGGTATGTATATCTATTTTTTCAAGTCCAAAGTTTATGAATCCAAGCACCAATAAAATATTTTGATGAAAATTTAGCAGATACTAAATTGAGACATATTGTAAGTATAAAATACACACTGTATTTTGAAGATTTTGTTTAAAAAACATAAAATACAGTTATTAATAATTTTCATTTTGATTACATGATAAAAAATACTTTAGCTATATTGGGTTAGACAGTATATGTTATAAAGTTAATTTTACCTTTCAATGTTCACTTTTCACAATATGGCTACTAGAACTTTTAAAATTATATATGCTCCTTGCATTATATTTCTATTGAACAGAGCTGGAGCTACTCTAGAGTAAAATACATGGGGCAAGGTTAGAATCAACTTTTAAAAAATATGCAAAGCAATAAAAGCCTTCCAAATAGAAAAATAGAGAACTGAGATTGAAATCAAGAGAGAAAGGTGTCAGAGGAGGAAAACATTTCAGAGAAAGAATTATCAAAATGTCAAATGCCATGGAGAAGTTATAAGATGTAATGGAGGAAAAAATATGTGTAAAACCCCAATTGCCTTAGAAGGAGGACTTGAATTTGCCAAACAGAAATCTTTGTGGTTCTGCCAGGCTAGACTTGTGAGGCTTAATTAAGTGGGCCTAGATTAATGTTTGGGAGTAGAACTTGGAGAGAACTGAATGACTTTGCCTAATAGAATGAGAAGAATTTGGGATCCTAAGTGTGGAGAGGGGACAAGGACAAACTTAGGAATGAGGTAAAAGGGAGGGATCAGAGGAGAAGGAAGAAAGAGGAGCCAGTGATATGTCTTGATGCTAAACACCAAGTGGGATGAAGGAGTGAGGGGGAGGCTGAAGAGCTGCTGAAAAGTGGGATGACTAATGTCATATTTGAAGTTGTTGAGTTTGCCACAGCATAATTCATCTCCTCTGTATCTACCAAACTATAGTAAATTCTGCTGCCCACACACAGACCTTTCTGAGTGTAGTTTGTATAAATAATGGAAAAGGATTAAATGGCAAGTATGGATTGTTGTGGGGTAGGACAACATGCATGGGCTGTAAAATAATCCACTGCAGAACTGATAGAGTGGAGCTGTGGACCCAAGTTTGGGGTAACCATGGGAAGATTGGAGAGTGCCTTATGCTCCCACATGTCCTAGGTGGCGGCATGTAGTTTAGATCTGATCTAAATCTCCAGGGTGAAAGTAACTCAAGTTAACATTTCAGTTACAAAGATAAAGTCTGAAGAACATTCTTTGGGTTCAGCAAAAAGAAGGTACTTGGGGACCTTGGAGAGTGGTGGATGGTCCTGATTCGGGAGGTGAGGATGCAGACACAGTGAACTTGGAGTCCTCTCTTTGGAGCTTTGCTGTGAGGGGATGGAAGGAGATTAAAGTGGCTAGAAGGGTTTTATTTTATTTAAGGATGGGAGGTTGGAGCACCTCTGCATGCTAAATAGAGCAGTAGAAAGTCTATTGTTTCTATAAAATGGCTTCATATTAACAGTATATTGATAAGGCCTTCTAATAACAAAGCAGAAGTGGCAGTGATACAAATTGGAGCAGCAGAAAGTGAATTTCAAAATCTCAGTGTGGTGCTGGTGCAAACGGTGTTAATCAAGAAACTAAGACCGGTTAGCTGTGGACTAGAATGTTATATAACCTGGCTTGCACCAGGAACTGAAGGTCAGTGACACAGAGATGATTGTGAGTTGTAAGGCAGCACTGAGCCAACTGGTAGATCCAAGATAGTAATATTCCCCTTCCAATCAATGCTTAGCAGGTCCTCACTAGCACCTCTTAGCCTTTGCACAGTGCCTTTCCAATACAGGTGATCCTTGAACTGCATGGGTCTACTTATATGTGATTTTTTTTCAATAGAATTTATACCAAGTGTGCCTTTCTCTTCTGCCTTGCCTTCTACCTCTTCCGTGTGTTCCACCTCTGCTACTCTGAGACAGCAAGACCAACCCTTCCTTTTCCTCCTCCTCAGCCTACTCAGTGTGAAGACAATGAGGATGAAGATATTTATGATGATCCATTTCCACTTAATGAATAGTAAATATATTTTCTCTTCCTTATGATTTTCTTAACAACATTTTCTTTTCTCCAGCTTATTTTATTGTAAGCCTACAGTGTATAATACATGTACAAAATTTGTGTTAATGGACTGTTTCTTATTCCTAAGGCTTCTGGTCAATAATAAGCTATTTGTGGTTAAGTTTTGAGGGACTCAAAAGTTATACATGGATTTTTTTTACTGTGCAGGGGTCAGTACACCAACCCCTGAGTTATTCAAGGGTCAACTGTGTTATTTTTATCATCTCATTTAGTAAAATACAGACTGGATGGATGGATAGATGGATGGTGTGATGGTTAATTTTAGGGGTCAGCTTGACTGAACAGAGGGATGCCTAGTTGGCTGGTAAAACATTGTTTTTGGGTGTGTCTGTGACAGTGTTTCCAGAAGAGATTGATGTGTGAGTCAATGGACTAGGAGAAGGCCAGTCCTCAGTGCAGGCAGGCACCATCCTATTTGTTGGAGGTTAGGACAAATGGGCAGAAGAAGGAGGATTGCTCTCTCTCTCTGCTCTCTCTCTCTGCTTTCTGGAGAGGTGTGCTTCTTTTCCTGCCTTTGGACATAAGACTCCAGATTTTTCAGCTTTTGGATTCTGAGACTTGCACACACAGCCCCCTGGAGGCTCTTGGGGGTCTGGTCTCAGACTGGAGGCTGCACTATCAGATTCCGTGGTTCTGAGGCTTCAGACTTGAACTGAGCCATGCTAATGGCTTTTCTGTTTCTCCAGCTTACAAACCAGCCTATCATAGAACTTCTCTGCCTCTCTGATTGTGTGAGCCAATTTTTCCCTAATAAATCTTTTTTCATATATTCTACTGGTTCTGTCTCTCTGGAGAACCCTGACTAATACAGACGGGTAATGGGGTAATGGATGGATAAAAACAGAAATAGTGGGGAAAAATAACAGTGACCTTCAGGTTTGTAGGAGCTCTGTCTTAGTCCATTTGTGTTGCTATAAAGGAAGACCTAAGGCTGAGTAGTTATAAAGAAAAGAGGCTTATTTAGCTCACAGTTCTGCAGGCTATACAGAAAGCATGGCACTAGCATCTGCTTCTGGTGAGGGCTCAGGCTATTCTCAGTGGAACACTAATGGCAGAGAGTGAAGAGGAGCTAGCATGCAGAGATCACATGGCAAGAGAAGAAGCAAGAGAAAGGGGAGGGAGGTGCCAGGCTTTACCAACCAGTTCTTGTGGGAATTAATAGAGCAAAAACTCACTTATTCCTGAGATAATGGCACCAAGCCATTCATGAGGGATCCACCCCCATGATATAAACACCTCCCACTAGGTCCCATCTCCAACACTGGGGATCAAATTTTAATATGAAGTTTGTAGGGAACAAATATCCAAACCATAGTTAGCTCCTACATGAATGATAACACAGGCTTCCATGTTCCCTAAAGGCAGAGTTAGAGGAGGCTTTGTTAACCCACAGCATAGAGTTATGGATTAGAGAGGACACAAATCCTTGTATATTAAAAATTATATACTACAGCAAATCATATAGCAGGATTTGTTTTGTTTTTATATGGAGGTCTTAAAAATGTGATAGAAATGGATATTTCTAAGTTGTTTAAATTGTGGACCTGAAGAAACATATAGACTAGTCAACAGGAGCTGGCAACTATTAGATTTACACACTAGTACTTACCCCCTCCACTCTCTTTTCACAAATACACATGTTAAACATTACTTACATGTCAGAGCATTTTCATCCTTTGTGCATGGCCACAGAATTCCTAATGTAGTATCCCAGGCAGCCTCCACCAAACAATTAGTATAAGCATAAGAGTTGAAATCATACTGAGATTAGATGATTTTTCAAGTCATTTCCAGTACTACATTTTACAATAATTCTAGTTAATGAAAAGAATCAACTCCATTCACCCTCACCCTCACATTACCTGCATAATCTGCTGATTAGCTACATCGCCAAAGTACTTCCATAAGTATCCTGTAATGTGATATATCTGTACGGATTCTAGGCATCAATCATACCTATTTTAGATTACTATGTGCCTTAATCATGAAGTCTTATGCAATTTGATTTATTTAAATAGACATTATTGATCACTTCCTGTGTGCTACATGGTAGAGAAATAAAGATACGTAGAAGGTAGGCAGACCCACTGAACACTAAATCAGTAGCAAGTGTTCTAGTGGTTGTTAAAAAGTTATATAATTTCAGAAAAACGGTGTTCTTGCTTGGGAAGTTGTGAGCAGGCTTCACTGAGGAAGTATGGGCCAAAAGAACCTTGAAAATAAATAGAACCTTGTGAAACTAAAGATGAAAGGGCTTTATGGATAGTGGCAATATTAGGAACAAAAACCAGAGAAAAGGAACATGAATGGCACATTGGGATAATGGTATTTAAGTCTGGAGCATGGGGCACATTGTTGAGCTGGAGGCATTGATGAGAGAGAAGATTTTTAAGGACTTAGAATGAAGTTAAGTTTGGATATTATCTTACTTGTAATGGGAATCCACTTAGGGTTTCTGAGCATTGATTTGACAAGTTAACTTACAGCAGCAGTATTGAGGATGAACCGCAGAAGGAAAAGAATAAGGGTCAAGAGATAAGACTATCACGAATGTCCAGGCAAGAGATAAGCAGGCATGCATTAGAAGATTGTAAGTTGAACTGAGAGTAGATAACAGATTTTGGGTGAAAGGAATCATAAATTGATTGCATGCTGAGATTGAGGGTAAGAAGGAAGAGTCAAGAATTTATTCACTACCATAAAAGAAAACAAATCCTGCCTTTCTTCACTTTTTCCTTTATCTATTTTTAGAAGTTATTTTTCCCTCTTTTCAGAACCAAATCAAACCGCCCCAGTGCCACTTGATTTTTCCAGCTGCAGCCCATCAGCTGACACCAGGACCCTTGCACATCCCAACCCTGATCTCTAGCAGCCTCCCACTTTTGATAAAGAGATGGGGAGGTAGACAAGTAAATGAATAATTCTGAGTCCCAACACTGAAGGTACAAAGTGCACTTAGGATCACCAACTCCTAATTTTTGCCTTTGAATTTTAGAATTATATCACCTTGCTGTCAACTTACCCAAACATTCACTGACCAGTAAAAACCTGAATTCTTCTTAAGAAGACTTCATATTAGGCCTATCAAAACTACTGGACCTACTCTTTGCAGGGTTCTGCAAAACTCAGTCTGTCAATTCAGAGATTTAAAGGTGAGACCCCAAAAGCTAGCCCACTCCTGATTCTCAATTACTTGCCATTGTCGTAGACAAATGGGTTGAATTTAAGGACCTTCTGAAGGGTATGGTCTATATGAGGGTCAGAAGGACACAGGTCACTCTTTTGGTTATCTGTTAGCCTGATCAGACTTCTTTTTTTTTTTTTTTTTTTGAGACAGAGTCTCACTCTGATGCCTGATGCCCAGGCTGGAGTGCAGTGGCGCGATCTGGGCTCACTGCAATCTCCACCTCCCGGGTTCAAGCCATTCTCCTGCCTCAGCCTCCTGAGTAGCTGGGACTACAGGCGCCCGCTACCTTGCCCGGCTAATTTTTTGTATATTTAGTAGAGACACGGCTTCACCATGTTGGCCAGGATGGTCTCGATCTCTTGACCTCGTGATCCACCCGCCTCGGCCTCCCAAAGTGCTGGGATTACAGGCGTGAGCCAGTGCACCCGGCCAGACTTCTTTATTTAAAAAAAAAAAAAAAAAGTAGAGGTGATATCTTCCAAGCATAGACTCAAGAGGAAGTCTAGTAGACTACCAAGCTATTACTGGGAATGAGGCTTGGGTGGGTCTTCCTGCCGTTTAAAAGCATGGATTGCTACAGAACTAAGACAGTCTTTGTGGACAAGAGTTTCCCCAGAACATTTCCTAGGATGGAATAAGTTTGATTTCTTGTTAAGGATTATGGGCTGTTGAAGATCTTGTCAGTTTCTATTATAGACAGAATTTTGGACAAAGACTTAGAATACTTCTCTGATATTAATTATTTGTGTATCAATGAGCAAATAAGAACTTTACTAAGCTGTAGTTTTTTTTGATAAACTGATCACTTTTGGCTATGTAAGATACAATGAATTTCTCCAAGTTTCTCTCCAAAAATTTGTCCTGCTAACTTCCTTGTCTTTTGTTCTCAAACTCAACTTTCCTGTTCCTCCTTGCCCCAGTTACCGTAAAAGAGCCTACCCCTTTCCCGTCAGCTCTAATCAATAACGCACATCTGTTCCCTTGGTTACCTGCACCCATTGTGCCCCTGAAACTGCACGTCTCACCTGCTCCACCTCTGTACCTCACGTCCCCCTCCCCTTCTATATTTAGAAAAATATGTACAAGTAGCCAATCAGGTCAGCTCAGATTGTGCGGTCTGACCCCAGCCCATGCGGGAGGGACACAGAGGTAGGGATTGCGTTAAGAATATAAAAGCCCCCTAGTCTCCTTTGTTCCCTGTGCTCTTGTGATCTTGATTGATGCAAGTGGCACCCTTCTGCAGAAGTAAATTGCCTTGCTGAGAGAATTAAACTTTTGCCTGAGTGCTGGCTTTACTTTGTGGCACTGAGCATTTATTCCTGAAGTATTTTATGTCCAACAGGCTATATGCTTTATCTCGGTTCCCTTCTGATCACAACTTTTAGAATTGTTCTCACCCCAGTTTGTGCTCATTGTGTTGCCTCTTGTGGCTTCTCCAAGGCCTTTGCTGGGCTTCTCTTGCTACTCTTTCTCATTCCCTTAGTAAAGTGAATCAATGTGATCATCCTCAGGACTAAGCTCTGCTTTTTGTTTTTGTTTGTTTGTTTGTTTCTTTTCTATCTTGCCCAGATTCCTATCTAAGGGTCTGGGGAGTCATGCCATACAAACTGTAAATTCTTGTCAAGGAGGTTTTATTTAACCCTATATGTCATGACTTACTTTCCAATCTGACTCTGGTATAACATTATGTGACAAAGAAGAAAGTCAAAATATTTCACCCCAAAACACATTTCTTTGCCCATATTTTGAAATGGCCCTGCAAAGCTGTCCTTTGTGGGGGAAAATTTGCAGCTGTAAAGAATCTCTATTAACATAGCTAGATCTTTTTCTTCTAGGACCACCCAGTCCTCAAGAGATTAACTAAGAGTCTAGCATCTTTTAAAGGTCTGAATAGAAACAATTTGTCATCTATTGTCTCTAAGGGCAGTCAGTATAAGACTTCAAAAGAACCTTGGTCTCCATAATCTTTCGTCTTAACCTGAACATTTCCTTTCTATGGATCCCAGGTCTTTAGACAAACTCAACCAATTGTCAACCAGAAAATGTTAAATTTACCTATAGCCTGGAAACCCACCCCACCCCACCCCCACTTTGAGTTGTCCTGCCTTTCTAGACCAAACCAATGTATTTCTTTCTTTCTTTCTTTTTTTATTTTTGAGATAGGGTCTCACTCAGTCACCCAGGCTGGAGTGCAGTGGCATGATCTTGGCTCACTGCAACCTCTGCCTCCCAGGTTCAAGCAATTCTGCCTCAGCCTCCCGAGTAGCTGGGATTACAGTCATGCACCACCACACCTGGCTAATTTTTGTATTTTTAGTAGAGATGGGGGTTTCACCAATTTGGCCAGGCTGGTCTCAAACTCCTGGCCTCAAGTGATCCACCTGCCTTGACCTCCCAAAGTGCTGGGATTACAGACATAAGCCACTGCGCCTGGCCCCAGTATGTTTCTTAAATGTATTTGACTGATGTCTCATGCCTCCCTAAAATGGAGAAAACCAAGCTGCACCCCTACCACCTTGGTTGGGCACATGTGCTCAGGACCTCCTGAAGGCTTTGTTTAGGGTTATGGTCACTCATATTTGGCTTAGAATAAATCTCTTCAAATATTTTACAGAGTTTGACTTTTTTCATCAACAGTCCACTGGCAAATTATGTCAGGGCTGCCTCCTCGCAGGTCTGTCTTGGAAAAACAAAAGTCAAAATTGTAGCAAAGTAGAGACTAAACTTCAACTATGGCAGAATAAATGGTATTGGGCTTGCCCCCTCTTCATAAACAATTTGAAAATTTGACAAAATACATGAAACAACAGTGTTCAGACATTGGACAACACGCAGCCCAAGACTATGATCCCTGAGGAAATGAAATGAAGTGAGTCATTTATTACTTGGCTTTCTGCCTTGGGACGCTTTCTAGAAAGTAGTGCAGGAAGGGAGAATTTGGGGAGGGCATGGAGTTTTAAGTGTATTGAGAAGACAGAGATTAGAGTCCCAGGCTTCTGAGGGCATTAAAATTTGCAGAACAGAGGGAGTACACAGAAACAAAGAAATCTTCCTGGCATCTCTTGATTCTGTTGTTGAATTCTAGGCTGTGCATACATAGACAAAGTCCACAAAGTTAGACAAAAACAGAGCTCACTAAGGGCTGATAGACCTTAAAACTACAGCCATCCAGAATGAAGAGACATAGTTAAATATCCAAGGCATTCAACAGAGCTCTGAAAGGGTTAGGTTTTGTAGTGGAGCTCAAATAGTTCTAGATTAAAGACTCTACCAGACTACCGCTGCAAATCTTCAAAACAAGCTTCCAAAGGATTAAGTTGATCCAAAAGTTATCTGCCACTTCAAACAAAGTCAATACTGTTAAAATAACAAATACCTGAATTCAAACACTCAATAATGTAACACTAGTACATGTAATGTAACCCTAGTACATGTAGTATTAGGCATGTGAAGAAGAAGGAAAATATGACCAGAAGAGAAATGAATCGAGACCTGAAAATGACAGAAATAATGGAATGATCAGACAAGAACTTTAAATAGTTATTAAGAATATGCTTAAGAATTTAAATAAATCAATACAATGAGGAGAAATGGAAGATAAACAAATAAATGGAATGCTTAGATATGAAAAAGTCAATGTTCAACATAAAGTTCACAGAAAAAGACACTGCAGAAGAAAATCAATTAACTTGATTATAGACAATAGAAACTGCCCAAAAATAGAAAAAAGAAAAGACCAGGAAAAATAAAAAAAGAATAGAGCCTTATTCAACTTTAGGATAACAGCAAATGTTCTAATATGTGTGCAATTAGAACCTCGAAAGAAGGGGGAGTAACAGAAAAAAAAAGAAGACAAAATAGTCATAACATTTTTCAAGTTTGTTGGGAACCAGAAATCCACATATCCAAGAAGATCGAGCATGAAAAACACGAAGAAAATGAACCCATGGTGCATCATAATCATCAAATTGCTGAAAAGGAAAAATAAAGAAACCTTAAAAGCAGACAGATAATATCAGACATTATATACAGAGGAACAAATATAAGAATAAACTCAGAACTTCGTATCAGAAACATTGTAGCCAGGAAACTATGAAACCAGCTTTAAATAACTGAAAGTAAAATAATTGCAGCTTAGAATTCTATATTCAGTGAAAATATCCTATAAAATGATAGTGAAATAAAAACACTGTTTGGATAAACAAAAGGTGAGAGACTTCTTTTTTTTTTTTTTTTTTTTTTTTTTTTACCAGAAGACCTGCCTGTAAGAGATGTCCTGAACTTTTTGGACTCAAGAAAGGCTATACCAAATGAAAACTTGAATCTACACAAAGGAATGAAGAGTGTTTAAAATAGCTGAAAAATGGGTAGACACAAAAGAATATTTTCCTTTAAATTAAAAAAACTTACTGACTTTAAGAAAAAATTAACAACAGTGTATTGAAGGGTTTCTAACATGTGTTGAAGCAACATGTATAGCAACAATAGCACAAAGAGTGAGAAGAGGGAAAGGAACTATTTTTCTAAGTTGCTTACAGTATACAGAAACTGATATAATATCATTTGAAGGTAGATGATAATAATTTGAAGAGGTATATTGTAAACCCTAGAATAAACAATGGAAAATGTAACAAGTCATAGCTAATAAGCCAATAGTAGAGATCAAATACTAAAAATTAAAAAGTACTAAATCCAAGAAGTCAGGCAGGAAGGAACCAAACAGATGGGATCAATAGGAAACAAATGGCAAGATGGTCTTGGAACCAGTCATTGAATAATTGATAATTGATAATTCCATTGAATAAAAGTGGTCTAAACACTCTAATTAGCAGACAGAGATTTATAGATGGAATAAAAAAAAGCAGAACCTAACTACAGATGAACAATGTGGGGTCAGGGCCACCAACCCTTACACAGTAAAAAATCCAAATATAACTTTTCACTCCCCAAAGACTTAACTACTACTGTCTTACTGTTGACCAAAGCCTTATAGATAATATGGTCAATTAACACATATTTTGTATATGTGTTATATACCGTTTTCTTAAAATAAAGTCAGCTAGAGGAAAGGAAAGAAAATGTTATTAAGAAAGTCACAAGGAAGAGTAGTATACTGTATTGATACTGTGAGCTCTATGGTCTGTTTACAAGATGAATATCCTGTCTGAACTCGTGGCAACCACTGGCGGCAACCACAGCTGCAGACCTCAATCTACAGTACCTACCAAGCAATTCAACTTCTTCTTGTCATGTCATGACTTTTCTTAGGAGCACTGCCAGCATCACTGGTGGCACTTTGTATGGGTCCCATGATGTTACTAAAGGTTTAAGATATTGTACAAAACATGATTTTAAAAATGCACAAGAACTGTGAAAGACCATTTTCATGGTGATATGCTCTTTACTAGAGAGATAAGTTGCTCAGGTGGAGTTGACTACATCACATGGCATTTTAAGCAGAGATCTGTAACACTTGAGCTCGCCACAACAGCAATAGCAGGTGGCTAGGAAATTATTACAGTATGAACTACAGTTAATTTCATACAGTTATGATTTAATACAGAATCTTTAAATTGTTTACATTTCTTTTGACTGCAAATGACACCATGTATGGTCTGTGTTTGTGTAAGTTTTGATAAACTTTAATTTTTATTATAGATATGTGTATACTTTGTGGTAGTAAATGATAAAATAGGCTAATAGCTACATTTATTTTAGTCACTCATGAGGTACCTAACTTTTTCTTAATTTTTTTTTAATATTTCTAGGCTATGTGTTTCACCGGTTTTTTCAAATTGTCACAAATCTTCAAAAAATTTTCCAATATATTTATTGAAAAAACTCCATGTATTAGTGCACCTATGTAGTTCAAACCCACATTGCTCAAGGGTCAACTGTATATGCTATCTGCAAGAAATGCACTTTAAAAAAACAGTTCAATTTAAAACAATGATAGAAGAATGTTGGGATTCAATCAGAATGGTGGCAGAAATATTAAAGGGAAATATTAGGGAAAGTTATAGGGAATAGTCACAAACCTTTTGGAAGGCAGAAAGGTTACATAGCTTGTAATAATTGAACAGGCTGAAGGCAGCCGGTTCTTACCTTAGAGCATTAGGTCATAGGGTAAATACTAGGGACAACAGAGGCTTCCCCAGTTAAGTCTGCTTACCCTACCTCCATTAACCAACCTTTGAGCCAGATAGCCCTCTCAGGAGGAGGTCGACTAGGGATATTGCCCCCAATAGTATTTACTTTAGACCACTGTACCTGAGCTTTAATCATTCGTAGACCTACTCTCTTAACCATGTTAATTATCCACAAGTGTGTTGACTCAGAGCTTCTGTTGTTAATTGTATATGAAATTAATGCCTGGAGTGTGAGCTGCTCAGGGCCAGCTGCAGTCACAAGACTCTCTTGGTGTGCAGGCTGTCGGACACTGAGCTGGACTGGCAAAACAGAGTATCTGTGTGTCAGTGTACGTTTTATTCATCCATCGTTTGGGTCAGGGTCTGTGGGCAGACCCCCGCAGGAGTGGGCAGACCCACTCCTCAAGTGTGAGGAGCCTTACTTCAGAAGAATATATACCATGTAAATGTTTATCACAAGAAAACTGGAGGGGTTATACTCCTATTATACAAAGCAGAACTTAGGACAAGAAATATTATCTATAATAAAGAGGGACATTTTATAATGGTAAAAAGTTAATTCCTTAAGAAGACATAACAATCCTTAATATATATGCACCTAATTAAAGACCATTAATATACATGGAATAAAAACTGAAAGAACTGAAAAAAAAAAAACAGACAAATTTATGAGTAGATGAAGATTTTGACACCCCTCTCTCTGTCATTGTTAGAATAAATAGACAAAAAATGAGGAAATACATAAAATATTTGAACAATATTAATCAGCTAGACTTAGTTGACATTTATAGAACGCTCCACCCAATAAGGCAGATAACATCATATTTTTCAGTGCACTTAGACTGTTAACCAAGATAGACCACTTGCTAGACCATAAAAGTAACTAAAAAAAATCTATGGATTTCCAAAGTTTGGAATCATGCATAACATGTACTCAGACCACAATAAAATTAAACTAGAAATAAATTTTTAAAAATCTGGAAAATCTCCAAGTATTTGGGAATTAAATGATACTACTCTCATTAACACATGGGTTAAAAAGTAAAGAGAAGGGAAATTGGAAAATATTTTGAACTAAATAAAAAGAAAAAATACACAGAGAAATTTATGTGATAGCATTGAGTCAGAAAATTAAAAGTTTTAAATGATTACATTAGAAAACACAAAAGATCTAAAATCAATGACCCAAGAAAGTTAGCAAATGAAGAGCAATATAAATCCAAAAAAAAGAAAGCAAGAAAGAAGAATACAAAATAAAGAACACTAATGAAACAAGAAGTTGGCTCTTTTAAAAGATCAATAAAATTGATAAATTATAGACTAGTAGTGCAAAAAGAAGAGACATAAATTAGTAATATCGGAAATCTAAAAGGAGATATCACTACAGACCTTGCAAATATTACAAGGTTAATAGAGGTATTATGAGCAATTTTATGCTCTTTTATACATTCAATCACTTGGATGAAATGAAATTATCTAAAGACATATATTGCCCAAATTCAGAATAGAAGAAATAAAACATCTGAATAAACTTATAGCCACTACAAAGAACAACACAGGCCCAGATGGCTTCACCTGTAAATGTTACTAATCCTACACAAACTGCTTTAAGTAAAAGAAGAACCCATCCCTACTCATTTAATAAGGATAGATTTATCATGATAGCAAAACTAGACAAAGACACTACAGCCTAAACATATGAAATCTTTAACAAAATGAATCCAGTAACATATTAAAAGGTTAAAAAATCATTAAGAAATAGAGCGTATCTCACATATATAAAGTTGGTTTAACATTTGAAAATTAACCAGTGTAATTCACCGCATTAGCAGAATAAAGGGAAAATATATGAATATCTTAATGGATGCAAATTAAAACCACACTGAAATACCAGAATACACCCATTAGGATTGCTAGAATTGAAAAGGCAATATCAAGTGTTGACAAGAATATAAGGCAACGAGAACTCTCATGTTATTGGAGGGAATGTCTATGTTACAAGCACACTGGAAAATGTTTTGGTCGTTTCTTATACAATTAAATATATCATAGAGCTGAACGAGTGGTCTCTTAGATATTTATATTTATGCAAAAAGAAATAAACACATACCCACACAAAATCTGTTTTTAAATATTCATATAGATGTTATTTATAATAGCTACAAACTGAAAACAACTACAAAATCCATCAAATGGGAATTTATCACAGAAACTATTGGGTATCTTCACAATGGAAGACTATGCAGCAATAAAATGCAATGAACTGTCAATATATGCAAAAGTATAGATAAATTTCAAAAAATTAAGCAAAAAATGTTGTACTTAAAAAAAGTACATACTGTATGTATGAGTCTTTTTACATATTAGGACAGGCAAAATGAATCTATAAGTACTGAAAGCTGATCAGAAAATGGTGGCCATAGTAGAGAAAGGGGTTGAATGGAAAGGGTCATAGGAGGATTTTTGGGGTGATGTGTCTTAAATCTCGATTCTGGCTATAGTTACACAGGTGTACATTATACAGTTGTTAAACTAATTACACTGTACATTTAAAATGAGTGCAATTCATCAATAAAGTTGACTTTAAAGATCAAAACAAAGCAGAGAGAAGGCAGTAGTGGACAAATATAAACAAGAAGATCTTGTTCAAGAGGTTTCTGAGGAAATGAAAGCTCAATTTACATTTTTTAAAAATTCACCTCTGCCAACACAAATATAAAGGCAGAAACTTCCAGGGGCTGCCTCAGCAGCAGATTTGCTATGCATTGTTCTTCTACTTCGTCTTTCCTTTGTTGATCTCTTTTATATTTCAGGTTGGAAGTTAAACTCATTTGAATTAGTGACATATATTGTTCTAAATGATGGCAGAAAAAGGAATTATGTGAAATATACAGATGGCAAACCTGCATTGTAGCTTGGTATTTATAAAAGAAACGCATACTCATTGTGAAAAATTTTAGAAAAACATAAAAAATAAGAAGAAAATAATCTTATGTATCTCATTAATCACAAATCTCAGTAATCTCATTACCAGGGGAGGGAAATACACACTATACATAAACAAATATTTACTCATTGACTACGATGTGCCAGGCATTGTACTGGACATAATGAACAAAACGAAGTTTTTTCCCGGGTGGGAGAGACAGCCATTACTCCAACAATACACAAGTGCACATAGTATTTTATATAGTGTATTGTCACATGCTTGTATACTTAATAATGTATTGCAAATATATTTCCATGTCATTTAAGGTTTTGTTCAATAGTTTTTTTCTTTTTTTTTTCTTGAACAGAGTCTCATCCTGTCACCCAGGCTGCAGTCCAGTGGCTTGGTTTCCACTCACTGCAACCTCCGCCTCCCAGGTTCAAGTGATTCTCCTGCCTCAGCCTCCTAAGTAGCTGGGATTACAGGCACCTGCCACCACTCCCGGCTAGTTTTTGTATTTTTAGTAGAGACGAGGTTTCACCATGTTGGCCGGGCTGGTCTTGAGCTCCTGACCTCAAGTGATCCACCTGCCTTGGCCTCCCAAAGCTCTGGGATTACAGGCGTGAGCCACCGTGCCCGGCCTGTTCAGTAAGTTTTAACGTATACATAGTATTCCAATGTACAGTTTTACTACTTTCTTCTTTGGCCAAATTTTCTTTTATTAACAATTTAGATAATTCTCCCTACTTCCTATTTTCAGTTATTAATAACAATGCTAATGTAGCAAAATATTTGGACCTAGTTCTGGAGGATTATAAATTCTAAGAAATGAAATTCTTTTAAAAATATAAATGCTATATAATTTGAAACATGTTGATAGATCCGTAAAAAGTTAGACATTTTCTTCACCTAGATGTTTAGGTGGTTGGGTTGCCAGTGGTCTTATTGAGATGCAGTAAGAAAAAATTTAATTGTTTACTGTGATTCTGCCTCCTCTAAATTTTATTCTTATAAAATATTGAAGTGTCAGGGAATAAAATACATAATCACAGGTTGTCCTAGTTTTGAATTTTCTCAATTTAACCTTTAAAACTTTACATTGTTGCAAACTAGCCCAAGTAAACAAATGTACATCCCAGAGAGTATTATGAAAACACAATTCTGACATGAATTCTTCTTTCAAGGATTCACATTCTCCATAATTTAATCTAGGGGACTACAAATGCAAAAAAATAAAAGGCTGAACTGGCTGTGACTTTTAATTCCAAAACTGATTTCCCAGAGCTTGTTGTGGATTATTCTTGGCAAGTATTTCTATGCTAAATCTGTTCCTTAGAAAACTCACGGAGGTGATCTCATTCTGTCTATGCAATTCTTTTTGGCATTAATGGGACACTACATAAAGATTAAATACATGAAACATCAGCTAAAACACTTGTAGCAATAGAGACAGTAGTTTATACGAATAGAATTTATATGAGTTCTTTCTGCCATGTTTCCAACAAATAAAGCTATAAAGCTTTCAATAGCTGAGGCATTCTAACTCATTGAAGAAAAGCAGTTTACCATAAAGGGGATTGTTTTCTTCTCTACCTCTGTAGGTAATTTCTTTTGAGATTGATAGGGGTTTTATAACACCTTAAAGAAAGGAAGTGCTCCTTTTTCAAAAGGTGTTTATCCTTAAATATAGTTAACAAGTCTTCTTTTATGAGACTGTAAAGGGCATTCTGAAGATTGCAATATGTTCATAATTATAATGCTCTATCCAACATCAGAAACTCAGTAGAGCTAGGTGGTAGTAGCCAAGTGCGCTAGGAAACCACACTAGTCCAGGGTTTTTTTGTTGTTGTTGTTATAAGTTTCTTTATCCCCACTCCCACAATCCCCACAAGTATTTAATCTAAAATTAAAGGCATGTAGGCTTAGAGAAATACTGATCTTCTGTGAAATCCACAGAGATCCTTATATTTCGATAACGATGATTTACTCACAGCAGAGAAACAGGAAAGGATTGTGGAAAAATACCATTGTTCTTTAATAGCAGCTCAACATCATAGGCTATGTTCCTCCAACTTTAGATCTTAAGCTTAGTGATCTCTGGCAATTATAATTTCAATAATAATGTCTTCCTTAAAACAATTATAAGTAAAAGTATCTCACACATATATCTCTCCTCTATTCAAACTATTACTTTCAGCTATAGAATGCATGCATATATAAATTGAGTGAATTTAGGGTATGTTAATATTAGACCTTGTGTGATATACTATGAAATTTAAAGGTGGAATACTAACAATTCAGTATAGTAAATTAGATTTTCTATTTATATAATGTAGAAGAATTCAAAGTATTTAAACCATTTGCCTTACTCTGACTCAACATTTAAAAGAACAATATAATTGTGATGTTGGTCTATTATATGTTCTGAATATCACTGGTTGTGGCCTAATTTCCTAATTTATCTACCTGTAGCCACATTTTGTATCTGCTGGGATGCTTTGGTTTCAAGTAAAAGAACACTGAGTTAAAAGTGGTTAAAGGTCAATAAAACTAAAGTAACACAATTCCAGGGCAGAGGTGTCAGCAGGTTCACAGTGCAGATCTCTGGATCCACCGAGTCTGCACAGTCTCTGCTTCTACTCACCCTTGTGAGGTGGCTGTCACAGCCGCACCCCACACCCCACATCACAGAATTCAAAGGCCACGAGACAGGAGCAGGCACTTCTCCTAGAGCATCTCCCTCTGATCAGTGAAGAAAATAATTCCAAAAAGAGTCCCACCCCTGAGAATGGATTTCTTTTCCGGTCTCCTTGGCCAAAACAGATAATAAGCGAAGACTTAGTTGAAAGAAAGACTAGTAGGAAAGCAAGTGTCTGGAATTTCAGCACCAGTAGTGGGAGGCAGGCTTAGGTCTAAAAACAAAGAAAGGCTGGGCCAGAGAAAGGCTGTTCGCCAGGCAGCCACAGCACTTTATGTATAAAGCGAGAAACAATCATCTCACTTGTGAGTCTTATTATCCTGGGACTTTGACAGTGGTTGTAGTGATAGAGAACAAAGCATTTCCTTTGCCAATTTGCTTTCCCACTTTCTCAGACAACTATTTCACAATGTTCTCTTTTCCTCAAACTTCTAAAAGCTTCCTTCTCTTCGTCACTCTCAGTTTATGGCCTAGCCCCTTACCTCAGTTAAAAATCTAGAAGCATTCCTGAGAAAATTTCCAGGTTTCTCTGCCATTAACCCTACTATCCTACTGGGACCCGAAGCCCTAGACTGCGTTCCTCATGCAGCTGATGGACTGCCAATCTCAGGCCATATACAGGGACCCTTGCCTACTCAAGGTCTCAAGTCTCCAAATTACCTTAGTCTCTCTCCTGTAACATCATTCTTCCCTCTGTTGGAGTAATCCCGTCCACCTGCCCATATGCTGCAATCTCTCCCTACTGTCAAAGATAAACAAGGTCAGACATTAGTCAAAACAGTGAAAACAGATCTTCTTCAGTAATTGCTGACAAAGGGGAAATGGCTGAGCTCAATTCCAGTTTGTGCAGAGGTGACTGGGTGTTGTGAAGGGAGTAGGGAGGGGGCGAGAAGACGCTCAGTAGAGTCAGGGAAGTAAAAAATTACAAGAGGTTGATCAAGTGGAAGTGCGATTGGGCCGGCTGTGCACTCCACCTGGCAATTATCCAAGTTAGGATTCCGTCCTCCCACAAACACTGGGAGACAGAGGCTCCATTCTTCCTGAGGCGCATTCTTGTCTTTGAGAAAGACACTCCTGAGTTATGGGAGACATATATACATCTTACAGAGAAGAGGAAGGATTCTCAGTTGTAACCCCTTTTAAGAAAATACTTTAAGAAAAGCAGACATTTTCATGGGGAGGGGGAGGGAGCATCCAGGAGACAGGGCCTTATGCTGCTAGGAGCCATGCTAGAGTTGGGTTGTCTCCTGGTGCAAACGTTTGGATGGAGTCATTACATGCTGAGAGTTCTGCAGTCCTCGCTTCTTAATAAAGCAAAACAAAAGAAAACCATCCCTAACTCTTAATACCTCTCCAGGAATCACACTTTTTGCAGTCCATTGTTCTAGTCAAACATCTTGGAACAGCTGGTTCTGCTAGCTGCTCCTTCTTCACCTCTTATTTTATCTTCAGCACATTCCTGTCAGGGTTTCCAACCCACCTCTTCACTTCACCATTCTCATTATCACTGTTTACCTTGACAAATTTAGCAACAACGTCTTTTTTTTTTCATTTACCCAAAATGTAGTTTTTGATACAGCCAAACAATCTCTTCATCTTGGAACAATTCCTTCCCATGGTTTCCAGGGCACCGTGCCTAATTTGGCTCCTATGCACTGGCAGCTCCCGATCCTCTCAATGTAGAAGCATCCTGGGGCCCCGGCTGGTTGTGTTCTCTTTTTTCTCTACCAGAGGCCTGTGTTTCTCTTCAAATTTTATAGATTTAAATACTCTGAACTCCTCACCAGTTTTCAGACTTGTATATCTACCTGCCCACCTGACATATCTTCTGACAGGCAACTTACAATCCTAAGTACAGCTATTGATTGTCCCCATGTCTTAGTTCATTTTCTGTCGCTTACAACAGAACTGAAACTGGGTAATTTATAAAGAAAGGACTGGTTTTTTTTTACAATTATGGATACTGAGAAGTCTAAGGTTGAGGGGCCACATCTAGTGAAGGACTTGTTGTTGGTGGGAACTCTCTGCAGTATCCTGAGGCGGGTGCAGGCCATCTCATGCTGAGGGGACTGCATGTGCTCACATGCTAGCTCATGTGAATCACCTCCTAAAGGCCCCCCACTCTCAATATTGCCACATTGGGGATTAAATTTCAACATGAGTTTTGGAGGGGACGTCTATCCATAGTAACCTTCACAATCAGCTCCTTCCCCAGTCTTTTCCATCTCAGTAAAGGTCATCTCTATTCATCCAGTTGTACAGGTCAGAAACTTAGTATTCATTCTTTCCTTTCCCTCACTCTCTGCAGCTAATCTATTAGCAAGTTCTGTCATCTCTGTTTTCAAAATGTAGCCCAACCTGTTTACTTTTTCTCACTTCCATTGCTGCCTACCACCATCCCCTTTAGCTTGTTATGCACTGGCCTCCTAGCTGGTTTTGCTTCCACTCTTGCCTACCTATAGTATAGCATCCACATGACTTCCTGTTTCATTCATAGTAAAATCCCAAATCATGCCTGCCCTGTGTAAGACCTGCATGATGTGGCCCCTGCCTGACTCTGAACGTATCTCCTATGTGCTTCCTTTTAAGCACTTGGTTCCAGACACCAAGTCTCTTGACTGTTCTTGAAATAAAACATACTTGTATTCTCAACATTTACTCAGTTGCTATTCATCTTGCCAAGAAAAATGTACTTCCAGCAGACCCTCACATAACGTAACCCCACTTAATTCACAATTTTATTCAGATATTATGTACAGAAGTCTTCAAGGATTATCCTATTTAAAAGAGCATCTCTCGCCGGGCACAGTGGCTCACGCCTGTAATCCCAGCACTTTGGGAGGCCGAGATGGGCGGATCCCAATGTCAGGAGATCGAGACCATCCTGGACAACATGGTGAAACCCCGTCTCTACCAAAAATACAAAAATTAGCCAGGCGTGGTGGCGCACTCCTGTAGTCCCAGCTACTCAGGAGGCTGAGGCACAAGAATTGCTTGAACCCGGGAGGCAGAGGCTGCAGTGAGCCGAGATCATGCCACTGCACTCCAGCCTGGGTGAAAGAGAGAGACTCTGTCTAAAAAAAACAAAAAAGCATCTGTCACTGCCACTCCCACATCAATTTCTATTTCCCTATTCTATTGTATTTTTTCATGCCATTAAATATTAATGTCTACCTGACCTATTTAAATGACATTGTATTAAATTTAATATATTAAATTATATTAATATTAAATGACATTATATTAAATGCTGTAGTTTTCATGTCACTTATCTCTACCTTGACAATATAATAAATCGCTACCTAATATTATATTAATTTGTTGTGCGTGTATGATATGTACTTTGCTTACTAGGATGTAAGCTCTCTTGCCATATCCCCATCACTAAAACAGTGTTGACACATAGCAACAAGTACTATATCTTTGTTGAATGAATAAAAATAGTGTAATCCCTTTAACACTGTGGAAGAGAAAAGGGTGGCTTTGAGGGTATAAAATCCATACATTATATAAACTTTTTTATTTTAAATAATAATTACACTGGGTGATGTAATATGGCCAGAGCTGTGGTGCTGTCAGGAGACTGTTGTATTTGGCAAATCTAGATAATTGACAATATGTATGTATAGAGTCTAATTATAAACTTCTAGGAGAATAGGGATCACGTCTGTTTTACTCAATTTTCCTAGCTTTTGCAGAGATAGGTCCGAGAGCCTCCTAACGGTGGTAAGGAGGACATCATTGTTACATGGCTGAACAGCAAATACTTCTTCAATACTTAAATTAAGTCGTTTTCCCTGAAAATACACACTGAAACTGAATCAGGAAATATACAGATCTGCGTAAAGAAAACATCTAGATGTTCTCCAGTTGAAACTGAATGAAGTTTCTATCGGAAAGCTATTTTATCAGATGAAAACATGTCAAAAAAAAAAAAAGAAAGCTATTTTAAATACGTTTTATGTTTATATCATATAAGCATAGACAAGTAATTTTTGTCTTTATGTACTAACAGGCCATCAACTTTTGTTCTATATGAAACACAATACATACTTATAGCATCTCCTGCACTAACTCAAACTGAACACTGTCTTCATCACATTTTCCAAAATTATGTATAGTGAATAGTAAGGTACAGTATTATGATTTTCTTTCTAAATTCTGAGTCAAATGTAATATTTACATAGTACTTATGGTGCTTATACATCACATCCTTTCATTTTAGCAATTAGTAGCAACATTGCTTAAGAAATAGAACCAAAACTCTGGTTTAGATCTTTGTGATTTTACTGGGAGCATTTTCACTGAAAAAACAACCTCATAGCCATTAAAACAGCATTAGAATTCTCTCAAGTTCAGGCATTGACCTCAGAAATAGTAATGGGAGAGTAGGATAAATTAACTGAGTTGTAGATCACTGGACTTCAAATCCTCTTCTGCAGAACTTGACAAGATGTCCCTGGGTTGCTGGAGTGGAGCCTCACCCTTTCACTCCATTTCAGCCAGGACAACTCCACTTTCTTCCATTTCAAACTTTGGTATGTCATGTATGATTTGGTGCTGAATTTTTTAACATTGAAAATCTCTGTTTTCACTGTTAAATGCCTATGACAAGGTTAAGTGAAAGCCACAAATAGAATGAAGTGGAGGAGATAAAGAGTGTTTTCTGATATGCTCTTTTCCTTATGGATTTCAGAATAAAGACATTTATTCCAGCATTCATTCCTTGATTCATAAATATTTGTTGAGCATAAACTATAAACTTGGCACTCTGAGCATCCTTAGTATTAGCAAAAATAGAAAAGAAAATCTGAATGTTCATCAACATGGAGATGGTTGAATACGTTGTGGTACAACCAGTCTCTGGAAAGCTATGCAACTTTAAAAAATTGTAAGTTGAATTTGTTAATATTAACTTAAACTTTTTTATTTTAAATAATAATTACATTGCATGTGCTCACATGCTAGCTCAAGTCTCTCTTCCTTTCTTAATATAAATGGATGTTTGTATGTGTTGACATAACAGGGAGAGGGTATGGCAGAACACATAGAAAATTGCTTCTGTTGTTTTTCTAAAAGTTTGGGAATGAAGAGGGAGGGTTGGACACACATACAGGAGAGTTAGGGACTATTTATATATGTACACATTTCTGTATTGTTTGGCTTGTCATGATGAGCACACATTATTATATTAAATCCACAATGCAGATGCCAACTTTTAAACTAGTTTATTGTTTAGTGTTGTCATGTGAAGCTTTAAAAATTAACCGTGTGACCTTAAATAATAGATAAGAATTACTAAATAAACTTACAGTCTTTATGCTGAGGACATCAATGCATCCAATATAAAGAAAAAGTGTGATCATGTTCTCTCCACTTACTGAGCTCTAATCAGATTTGTTTGCTTGTCTTGATTAAATATTTTAAAACATTGAAAACAGTATCTACTTCTGTTTTAAATAAAATATGAGATATAGTTTACATATGATAAAATGTGATTATTTTAGGTTTACAGTTCAATGATTTTTTAAATAAAATATGTATACTCATAGAACCTTAACATGTAGCACTTTTTTTTTTATACTTTAAGTTTAGGGTACATGTGCACAACGTGCAGGTTAGTTACATATGTAAACATGTGCCATGTTGGTGTGCTGCACCCATTAACTCGTCATTTAACATTATGTATGTCTCCTAATGCTATCCCTCCCCTCTCCCTACACCCTACAACAGGCCCTGGTGTGTGATGTTCCCCTTCCTGTGTCCATGTGTTCTCATTGTTCAATTCCCACCTACGAGTGAGAACATGGAGTGTTTTGTTTTTTGTCCTTGTGATAGTTTGCTGAGAATGATGATTTCCAGCTTCATCCATGTCCCTACAAAGAATATGAACTCATCATTTTTTATGGCTGTATAGTATTCCATGGTGTATATGTGCCACATTTTCTTAATCCAGTCTATCATTGTTGGACATTTGGGTTGGTTCCAAGTCTTTGCTATTGTGAATAGTGCCGCAATAAACATATGTGTGCATGTGTCTTTATAGCAGCATGATTTATAATCCTTTGGGTATATACCCAGTAATGGGATTGCTGGGTCAAAAGGTATTTCTAGTTCTAGATCCCTGAGGAATTGCCACACCGACTTCCACAATGGTTGAACTAGTTTACAGTCCCACCAACAGTGTAAAAGTGTTCCTATTTCTCCACATCCTCTCCAGCACCTGTTGTTTCCTGACTTTTTAATGATCGCCATTCTAACTGGTGTGAGATGCTGTCTCATTGTGGTTTTGATTTGCATTTCTCTGATGGCCAGTGATGATGAGCATTTTTTCATGTGTCTTTTGGCTGCATAAATGTCTTCTTTTGAGAAGTGTCTGTTCATATCCTTTGCCCACTTTTTGATGGGGTTGTTTTTTTTTTTTCTTGTAATTTTGAGTTCATTTTAGATTCTGGACATTAGCCCTTTGTCAGATGAGTAGATTGCAAAAATTTTCTCCCATTCTGTACGTTGCCTGTTCACTCTGATGGTAGTTTCTTTTGCTGTGCAGAAGCTCTTCAGTTTAATTAGATCCTATTTGTCAATTTTGGCTTTTGTTGCCATTGCTTTTGGTGTTTTAGACATGAAGTCCTTGTCAATGCCTATGTCCTGACTGGTATTGCCTAGGTTTTCTTCTAGAGTTTTTATGGTTTTAGTTCTAACATTTAAGTCTTTAATCCATCTTGAATTAATTTTTTTATAAGGTGTAAGGAAGGGATCCAGTTTCAGCTTTCTACATATGGCACCATTTATTAAATAGGGAATTAATAAATGGCACCATTTATTAAGTAGGGAATTAATAAATGGTGCCATTTATTAAATAGGGAATCATTTCCCCATTTCTTGTTTTTGTCAAGTTTGTCAAAGATCAGATGGTTGTAGATATGCGGCATTATTTCTGAGGGCTCTGTTCTGTTCCATTGGTCTATGTCTCTGTTTTGGTACCAGTACCATGCTGTTTTGGTTACTGTAGCCTTGTAGTGTAGTTTGAAGTCAGGTAGCGTGATGCCTCCAGCTTTGTTCTTTTGGCTTAGGATTGACTTGGCAATGTGGGCTCTTTTTTGGTTCCATATGAACTTTCAAGTAGTTTTTTCCAATTCTGTGAAGAAAGTCATTGGAAGCTTGCTGGGGATGGCATTGAATCTATAAATTACCTTGGGTAGTATGGCAATTTTCACGATATTGATTCTTCCTACCCATGAGCATGGAATGTTCTTCCATTTGTTTGTGTTCTCTTTTATTTAATCGAGCAGTGGTTTGTAGTTCTCCTTGAAGAGGTCTTTCACGTCCCTTGCAAGTTGGATTCCTAGGTATTTCTACAACTCCAAAAGTTCCTTTTGTGCCCCTTTGCAGACAATAACCCTCTACTCTCAGATCTAAGCAATCACTGATCTGATTTCTACCATCATGGATTACTACTGCCTGTTCTATAATGCCATATAAATGAAATGATACACTATACAATCTATTGTTTCTGGCTTTTTGCTCAGTATAATGTTTTTGAAACTCATTCATATTGTGATGCCATTTCTTTTTATTTCTGAGTAGTGGTCCATTGTGTAAATATATCATAATTTTTATCCATTCACCAGTTAATGGATATTTGTATTATTTTCAGTTACTAGTTAGTATGAATAAAATGGCTATAAATTTTTGTGTCCATGTCTTTCGATGTCAACATAAGTTTTTACTTATTTTGGGCAAATATCTAGGAGTGAAATTACTGGTAAGTATATATTTAACTTTGTAAGAATCTGCCAAACTCTTGTCCAAGGTGGTTATAACATTTTACACTTCTACCAGCAGTGTATGAGTCCTAGTTGCTCCACATCTTTTCCAACACTTAGTATTATCATTTTCTATTTCTTTTTTTTTTTTAATTTTATTTATTTATTTATTTTTATTGATCATTCTTGGGTGTTTCTCACAGAGGGGGATTTGGCAGGGTCATAGGACACTAGTGGAGGGAAGGTCAGCAGACAAACAAGTGAACAAAGGTCTCTGGTTTTCCTAGGCAGAGTGTTTGTGTCCCTGGGTACTTGAGATTAGGGAGTGGTGATGACTCTTAAGGAGCCTGCTGCATTCAAGCATCTGTTTAACAAAGCACATCTTGCACCGCCCTTAATCCATTTAACCCTGAGTGGACACAGCACATATTTCAGAGAGCACAGGGTTGGGGGTAAGGTCATAGATCAACAGGATCCCAAGGCAGAAGACTTTTTCTTAGTACTTGTACAGAACAAAATGAAAAGTCTCCCATGTCTACTTCTTTCTACACAGACACGGCAACCATCCGATTTCTCAATCTTTTCCCCCCCTTTCCTGCCTTTCTATTCCACAAAACCGCCATTGTCATCATGGCCCGTTCTCAATGAGCTGTTGGGTACACCTCCCAGATGGGGTGGTGGCCGGGCAGAGAGGCTCCTCACTTCCCAGTAGGGGCGGCCGGGCAGAGGAGCCTCTCAGCTCCCGGACCGGGTGGCTGGCCGGGCGGGGGGCTGACCTCCCCACCTCCCTCCCTGACGGAGTGGCTGGCCAGGTGGCCCCCACCTCCCTCCAGATGGGGCGGCTGGCTGAGCCCCCCACCTCCCTCCCGGATGGGGCGGCTGGCCGGGCGGGGGGCTGACCCCCCCACCTCCCTCCCAGATGGGGTGGCTGGCCGGGAGGGGGCGCTGACCCCCCCCACCTCCCTCCCGGACGGGGCGGCTGGCCGGGCAGAGGGGCTCTTCACTTCCCAGTAGGGGCGGCCGGGCAGAGGCACCCCTCACCTCCCGGACGGGGCGGCTGGCCGGGCAGAGGGGCTCCTGGCTGGGCAGAGGGGCTCCTCACTTCCCAGCAGGGGTGGCCGGGCAGAGGCGCCCCCCACCTCCCGGACGGGGCGGCTGGCCGGGTGGGGGGCTGAGCCCCCCA